>NC_000001.11:229214424-229365939 GCF_000001405.40 Homo sapiens | reverse complement strand
AGAAAGAGGGTGTAATTGACTCATAGTTCCCAGGCTGTACAGGTAGCATGGCTGGGAATGCCTCTGGAAACTTACAATCATGATGGAAGGTGAAGGGGAAGCAAGGAAAGTCTTACATGGCCAGAGAAGGAGGAAGAGAGAAAAGGGGGAGGTGCTACACACTTTTAAACAACCAGATATCATGAGAACTCTCTCACTATGACGAGAACAGCAAGGAGGAAGTACACCCCCATCATCCAATTGCCTCACCTCCCACCAGGTTCCTCCTCCAACGTTGGGGATTACAATTCAACATGAGATTTGGATGGGGACACAAATCCAAACCATATCAATATATATAATAAAAAAATAAAAAGGTGGATATTAAGGAGAAAAAATTAATTAGCTGTATCCAGATGCATTTTAATTTGCATTATACATTGCACTAACATCCAGAAAAATATAACCCTTTAAAAATACTATAATTCAAAATTTTTCACAAATTTTCCTCTCCTACTGGCCTTCTTCCTGCTTTGTCCTTTCTGCTTTTAAGTTTTCAGTGATAAGGAATTCTCAGTAGATTTCAATATCAGCCATGATTTTAAGATGGTGATTTGCTTTGAAAATGCTGGTATTCCTGCAAGATTGGAAATTAAGAACTCTTGGATAAAGTTCAGTGAGGATAACTGCATGGATGACAGCTCTTGAATCCTGCTCTCTCACAAATGTCACACACGTCACAGGCTGGTGGGAATCAGGAAGACACGGGGGTCCCATCACAAACTGTCTGACCACTCTCCTTCCTCCTCTCCCAGCCAGCTGTGGCATTTCTTCTCTCAGGCCTTTCATTTTTGTCACCTCTGCCTGGGGCTCATTTCCTTGCCATGTTTGCATAGCTTCAGTTTCTTCTCAAATGTCCCCTCTTCAGAGAAGTCTTCCCCCAGTTTATATGTCCTTCAATCCCAGCAATTATCCTACTTGCTTTTTCACTTGTTTGTTCTGTGTCCTCCTGGAGGGCAGATCTTGTTCATGCTGTACCTTCTGTCCCTACACGGGTGCCAGGAACCCAGTAGGGGCTTCATCAGTATCTGTTGAGTGGATGTCAGGTCCTGCCTCAAAGACCTTGTAGTCTGGTAGGGAGAGGCAAACAGCAAGGATTCCACAAGGTAATTCCTGAAATGCAAGTGTGTGCCAAAAATCGTCTGGGAGAAGAAGTGCTCCGTGTTTCCTCAGAGTTGGTGCTGGTCAGGGTCTTGAGGATTGAATTCCTGAGTTGAGTTTAACGACAAGTCACAGCCCAGCCACCTGACACCAGGACAAGGGGGTTCCAGGGGGAACAGCGCGTCCAGACAGAATCTCAGAAGTGTGGTGGCCCATCCCGCTTTGGAAGGCCCAGATGGCTGCCCTTGGCAGAGACAGAGCTCAGTGAGTAAACCCACAGGCTCCCTTGCACTTTCCATTTTTTCAGTTGAGTTCATGTGACCAGATCTAAAAATGATGCGTGATACTTCCTGGCCAAGGATGTTAAAAGCTGGTGTGTCTCCTCCCTGGGACCACGGATGGCCATGTTGGGATGGCCGTGTGACAAGAAGGGGTCCTGGATCTCTGACTCACTGCCTGGCGGAGAGCCTGCTCTTTGTCTGGGTGAGAAATAAATCTGGAATTGCCTTCTGTAGATGCTGGTGGTGAATACACTTGTCTGATACACTGACCGAGTAGAAAATGCTCACAGGCAATGTCCTTATCCAGATGAGATGAACAAAAAGTAAAAACCTCATGTAGATTTCTCTACCTTTCTAGAGAGTGAGCATTCTCACCTCAGTTTTATCTAAAACAACACTTTTTCTATCTATCTCACTTTGTCTTAGATCATTGGTGTTGCTCTAAAGAAATATCTGAGCCTGGAGAATTTGTAAGGAAAAAAAGGGTTATTTGGCTTATGATTCTGCTGGCCGGAATCCTGGGCATCCGGTGAGGGCTCACGCTGCTTCCACTCATGCGGAAGTCAAAGGTGAGCTGGCATGCGCAGAGATCACATAGCAAGAGAAGCCAGAGAGAGAGCGAGAGGGGAAGTGCCTGTGTCTTTCTACCAATCAGCTTTTGCAGCAACTAATAGAGTGAGAACTCTTTACTTCAAGGACAGCACCAAGCCATTCATGAGGGATCCATCCCCAGGACCCAAACACCTCCCATTCAGCCCCACCTCCAACTTTGGGGGCCATATTCCAACATGAGAGTTGGAGGGAACAAACATCCAAAGTATAGCACACTTGTTTAAGCTTTATTGATCAGATTTTCCTTTTTTCTTTCTCTCTCTTTTTTTTTTTTTTTTTGAGACGGAGTCTCGCTCTGTTGCTCATGCTGGAGTGCAGTGGTGTCATCTCGGCTCACTGCAACCTCCACCTCCGGGGTTCAAGCGATTCTCCTGCTTCAGCCTCCCGAGTAGCTGGGACTACAGGCACGCACCACCATGCCCTACTAAATTTTGTATTTTTAGTGGAGACGGGGTTTCACTATGTTGGCCAGGCTGGTCTCGAACTCCTGACCTCGTGATGCACTGGCCTCGACCTCCCAAAGTGCTGGGATTACAGGTGTGACCCACTGCACCTGGCCAATCAGATTGTCTTTAATAAAAGACTCATTTGCTTTAAAAAAAAAAAAGGCATAAAATAAATGAAATTAGCTGGTGTCAATGGAGGCTGGTTAACCACCTGCTCACAGTAAAGCCCTCAGTGTGTGTTATCTGGCTTACTCCTCATAACACCTCTGTGATGTAGATATTGTCACTATCCACATTTTTCAGGTTTGGAAACCAAGTCTTACAGAGGCAGATGGCTAATCTGGGTGACACTGGGAATGGCCAGGGAAAGCCGGGGTTTCAGCCCAGCTCTGTCTGGCTGCAGAGCGCTTGCTCCTAACTCCTGAGTGACTCCACTGGTCTAATTCAGTCGTCCACTGAAGGCTCGAATCTTCAACAAGGATCTTTTACTTCCTACCTGGAAGAACAGCCAATCACAGCTCTGGTCTTTTTTAATTTGTAAGAAAGTTCTTCTTTACCCAAAGGGAAAATCTGCCTCCCGGGACTCTCATAAATGCTTCATGACTAGAGTCATTTATTTCTTCCTATACTGGGACTACTGTGTTATGTATATGTCTTTCCATTTTAAGAAAACAAAGTATTTGTCTAGGAAAAGGAAAGATATTATAGTTTTCCAGATATTATAGTTTTCCACTGCAGAGAAAAGAGTTATGTAACAGCAATGATTATTATAAAATAGTGCATTTCAACATCCTAGCAAGGAATGCTTATGGCATTGGCCATCGGTTCTAGGATCCATAGCCCCCCTGATGCTATAGGCTATAGTCTTGTTGGTCTTTTAACATCCTGTAGATCTAAATTGTGTATTTGAAACACCTTTATTGTGAATCATGGACAGCAGTATTCCCCCTGAATCATTCTAGGGGCTTAAATCAGGTGCACACTCTCAAAATACAATGTATGTTCTTCCTGTGTGAATGACTAACATGACGCCATTCATGACAAATTCTAGTCTCAGCTCTGATTCCCAAGATCAAATGCTTGATCTTGGGAAACTCACCTTCACTAGGACCTTATAAATGCATTCTCGGCTGGGTGCAGTGGCTCACGCCTGTAATCCCGGCACTTTGGGAGGCCGAGGTGCGCAGATCACAAGGTCAGGAGATTGAGACCATCCTGGCTATCACGGAGAAACTCCATCTCTACTAAAAATACAAAATATTAGCCTAGTGTGGTGGCATGCGCCTGTAGTCCAAGCTGCTCAGGAGGCTGAGGCAGGAGAATTGCTTGAACCTGGGAGGCAGAGATTGCAGTGAGCCAAGATTGCGCCACTGCACTCCAGCCTGGGCAACAGAGTGAGACTCCGTCTCAAAAATAAATAAGTAAATAAAAAAAAAAAATGCGACCTCAGCTTTCCAGACTAAGGGGATGTAGAGGAACCATTATCTCAGCAGCTTCTGAATTTCAGATGGTCCACGAAAAAGGATTTGTTATATCCAACCTCTTCAACAGGAATTCTAACCTAACTTTGTCATATGATCAGAAGCCTCAGATACTTTTTTCTCAACCTCTGATTCCTACATCGACTGTGTGCTTTTGTTTAGTCTGTAGCAGTATAAAGTTAGGGGGCATGGTTCACAAGACCACTATCACTTCAAACACCGATTGCAAATTTGAGGCTTCCCAAGACCACTGTCAAGGTTTGATAATTCTCTAGAAAGACTCATAGAACTCACTGAAAGCTGAAATAGCCATAGTTACAGTTTTTTTTGTTTTGTTTTATTTTTGTTTTTGTTGTAATTCTTTTTTTTTTTTTTTTTTTTTGGCAGGATTTTGCTCTATCACCCAGGGTGGAGTGCAGTGGTGCATTCATAGCTCACTACAGCCTCAGTCTCCCAGGCTCAAGTGATCTTCCTGCCTTAGCCTCCAAAGTAGCTGGGACTACAGGCACGTATGACCACACCCAGCTAATTTTTTTTTTTAATTTTGATTTTTAGCAGAGACAGGGTCTTGCTATGTTGCCCAGACTGGTCTCAAACTCCTGGGCTTAAGTGATCCTCCTGTTTTGGCCTCCCAAAGTGTTAGGATTAGAGGTGTGAGCCACTGCACCTGGCTGGTTATAGTTTACTACAGTGAAAGGATACAGATTAAAGTCAGCCAAGCTGGGCACCGTGGCTCACACCTGTAATCCCAGCACTTTGGGAGGCAGGGAGATCACCTGAGATCACAAGTTCGAGACCAGCCTGGCCAACATGGTGAAACCCCGTCTCTACTAGAAATACAAAAAAATTAGCCAAGCATGGTGGCGGGCACCTGTAGTCCCAGCTACTCAGGAGGCTGAGGCATGAGACTCGCTTGAACCGGGTGGTGGAGGTTGCAGTGAGCCGAGATAGCGCCACTGCACTCCAGCCTGGGCAACAGAGTGAGAATCCATCTCGAAAGTTTATGTCTTAAGGAATAAGAAAAAGAAGAAAAAACTTAACCCACAGCTAACGAGCAGAAGGAAAAAAAAATCACAGGAGGGACAAATAAAAAGAGAAGAAAAATAACAGGCCAATTACAACCCCTCCCCACCCTGCTCCCGCCACCTCCACCGGAACAGGTGCTGGTATCCACAGGTGAGAGACCCATAGACGATTCACATTATAGGACTCTGTGCAGACAACTCCCAGTATTAGCCCAGAGCCAGATAGACTCGATGGGTGGCTAGACCCAGAAAAGAGACAACAATCACTGCAGTTCGGCTCTCAGGAAGCTACATCCATAAGAAAAGTGGGAGAGTACTACATCAAGGGAACACCCCTTGGGACAAAAGAATCTGAACAATAGCCTTCAGCCCCGGACCTTCCCTCTGACAGAGCCTACCCAAATGAGAGGGAACCAGAAAACCAATCCTGGTAACATGACAAAGCCAGGCTCTTCAATACCCCCCAAAAATCACACTAATCCACCAGCAATGGATCCAACAAACCAAGAAATCCCTGATTTACCTGAAAAAGAATTTAGGAAGTTAGTTATTAAGCTAATCAGGGAGGGAGCAGAGAAAGGCAAAACCCAATGCAAGGAAATCCAAAGTATGATACAAGAAGTGAAGGGAGAAATGTTCAAGGAAATAGATAGCTTAAAGATAAAGCAATACAAAATTCAGGAAACTTTGTACACACATTTAGAAACATGAAATGCTCTGGAAAGTCTCAGCAATAGAAATGAACAAGTAGAAGAAAGAAATTCAGAGCTTGAAGACAAGGTCTTCGAATTAACCCAATCCAATAAAGACAAAGAAAAAAGAATAAGAAAATATGAACAAAGCCTCCAAGAAGTCTGGGATTATGTTAAATGACCAAAACTAAGAATAATTTGTGTTCCTGAGGAAGAAGAGAATTCTAAAAGCTTGGAGGACATATTTGGGGGAATAATCAAGGAAAATTTCCCCAGCCTCACTAGAGACCTAGACATGCAAATACAAGAAGCACAAAGAACATCCGGGAAATTCGTTGCAAAAAGATCTTCACCTAGGCACATTGTCATTAGGTTATCCAAAGTTAAGACGAAGGAAAGAATCCTAAGAGCTGTGAGACAGAAGCACCAGGTAACCTATAAAGGAAAACCTATCAGATTTACAGCAGATTTCTCAGCAGAAACCCTACAAGCTAGAAGGGATTGGGGTCCTATCTTCAGCTTCCTCAAACAAAGCAGTTATCAGCCAAGAATTTTGTATCCAGTGAAACTGAGCATCATATATGAAGGAAGGATACAGTCTTTTTCAGACAAACAAATGCTGAGAGAATTCATCCCTACCAATCCACCACTAAAAGAACTGCTAAAAGGAGTTCTAAATTTTGAAACAAATCCTGGAAACACATCAAAACAGAACCTCTTTAAAGCATAAATCACACAGGACCTATAAAGCAAAAATAGAAGTTAAAAAGCAAGAGCAAAAAACCAAAAACAAAAGCACACAGGCAACAAAGAGCATGATGAATGCATGTTGAATTTAATACCAACATTAAATGTAAATATCCTAATGGCTCCATTTAAAAGACACAGAACTGCAGAATGGGTAAGAACTCACCAACCAACTATCTGCTGCCTTCAGGAGACTCGCCTAGCACATAAGGACTCACATAAACTTAAAGTAAAGGGGTAGAAAAAGGCATTTCATGCAAATGGACACCAAAAGCGAGCAGGGGTAGCTATTCTTATATCAGACAAAGCAAACTTTAAAGCAACAGCAGTTAAAAGAGACAAAGAGGGACATTATATATGGTAAAAGGCCTTGTCCAACAGGAAAATATCACAATCCTAAACATATACGCACCTAACACTGGAGATTCCAAATTTATAAAACAATTACTAACAGACCTAAGAAGTGAGATAGACAGCAACACAATAATATTGGGGGACTTCAATCTTCCACTGGCAGCACTAGACAGGTAATCAAGACAGAAAGTCAACAAAAAACAATGGATTTAAACTGTAGCTTGGAACAAATAGACTTAACAGATATATACAGAACATTTTATCCAACAACTGCAGAATTCCTGTTCTATTCAACAGCGCATGGAACTTTCTCCAAGATAGGCCATATGATAGGCCATAAAATGAGCCTCAATACATTTAAGAAAATTGAGATTATATCAAGCACTCTCTCAGATCACAGTGGAAAAAAACTGGAAATCAACTCCAAAAGGAACCTTCAAAACCATGCAAATATACAGAAATTAAATAACCTGATCCTGAATGAGCACTGGGTCAAAAATGAAATCAAGATGGAAATTAAAAATTCTTCAAACTGAATGACAATAATTACACAACCTATGAAAACCTCTGGGATATGGCAAACATGGTGCTAAGAGGAAAGTTCACAGCTCTAAATGCTTACATCAAAAAGATGGAAAGAGCACAAACTGACCCTCTAAGGTCACACCTCGAGGAACTAGAGAAACAAGAACAAACCAAACCCAAACCCAGCAGAAGAAAGAAAATAACAGAGATCAGAGCAGAACTAAATGAAATTGAAACAAACAAGAAAAAAATACAAAAGACAAATGAAACAAAAAGCTGATTCTTTGAAAAGATAAATAAAATGGATAGACTATTACCAAGATTAACCAAGAAAAGAAGAGAGAAAATCCAAATAACCTCACTAAGAAATGAAACAGGAGATATTACAACTGACACCACCAAAATACAAAAGATCATTCAAGGCTACTATGAACACCTTTATGCACATAAACTAGAAAACCTACAAGAGATGGATAAACTCCTGGAAACATACAACCTTCCTAGCTTAAATCAGGAAGAATTAGATACCCTGAACAGACCAATAACGAGCAGCGAGATTGAAATGGTAATTTAAAAATTACCAAAAAAACACAAAAAAGTCCAGGGCCCGATGGATTCACAGCAGAATTCTACCAGACATTCAAAGAAGAATTGGTACTAATCCTTTTGACACTATTCCACAAGATAAAGAAAGAACCCTCCCTAATTCATTCTATGAAGCCAGCATCACCCTAATACCAAAACCAGGAAAGGACATAACCAAAAAAGAAAACTACAGACCGATATCCGTGATGAATATAGATGCTAAAATCCTTAACAAAATACTAGCTAACCGAATTCAACAACATATCAAAAAGATAATCCACCATGATCAAGTGGGTTTCATACTAGGGATGCAGGGATGGCTTAACATATGCAAATCAATTCATGTGATAACACCACATAAACAGAATTAAAAACAAAAATCACACGATCATTTCAATAGATGCAGAAAAAGCATTTGTCAAAATCCAGCATCCCTTTTTGATTAAAGCTCTCAGCAAAATCTGCATACAAGGGACATACCTTAATGTAATAAAAGCCATCTATGACAAACCCGCAGCCAACATGATACTGAATGGGGAAAAGTTGAAAGCATTCCCTCTGAGAACTGGAAGAAGACAAGGATGCCCACTCTTACCACTCCTCTTTAACATAGTACTGGAAGTCCTAGCCAGAGCAATTAGATAACAGAAAGAAATAAAGAGCCTCTAAACTGGTAAAGAGAAAGTCGAACTGTCACTCTTTGCTGACAATATGATTGTTTATCTTGAAAACCCTAAGAACTCCTCCAGAAAGTTCCTAGAACTGATAAAAGAATTCAGCAAAGTTTCCACATACAAGACTAATGTACAAAAATCAGTAGCTCTTCTATACACCAACAGTGACCAAGTGGAGAATCAAATCAAGAACACAATCCCTTTTATAATAGCTGCAAAAAAAAAAAAAGAAACAAAAACCTTAGGAATATACCTAACCAAGAAGTCGAAAGACCTTTACAAGGAAAACTACAAAACACTGCTGAAAGAAATCATAGACAACACAAACAAATGGAAACACATCCCATGCTCATGGATGGGTAGAATCAATATTGTGAAAATGACCATACTGCCAAAAGCAATCTACAAATTCAGTGAAATTCCCATCAAAATACCACCATTAGTCTTCATAGAATTAGAAAAAACAATTATAAAATTTGTGTGGAACCAAAAAAAGAGTCTGCATAGCCAAAGCAAGACTAAGCAAAAAGAACAAATCTGGACACATTACGCTACTTGATTTCAAACTGTACTATAAGGCTATAGTCACCAAAACAGCGTCGTACTGGTATAAACATAGGCCCATAGACCAATGGAACAGAATAGAGAACCCAGAAATAATCCCAAATATTTACAGCCAACTGATTTTCAACAAAGCAAACAAAAACACAAAGTGGGGAAAGGACACCCTTTTCAACAAATGGTGCTGGGATAATTAGTTAGCCACATGTAGGAGAATGAAATTGGATCCTCATCTCTCACCTTACACAAAAATCAACTCAAAATGGATTAAGGACTTAAACGTAAGACCTGAAACTGTAAAAATTCTAGAAGATAACATTGGAAAAACCCTTCTAAACATTGGCTTAGGCAAGGGTTTCATGACCAAGAACTTCAAAGTGAATGCAATAAAAACAAAGCTAAATAGTTGGAACCTAATTAAACTAAAGAGCTTTTGCACAGCAAAAGGAACAGTCAGCAGAGTAAACAGACAACCCACAGAGTAGGAGAAAAATCTTCACAATCTATACATCTGACACAGGACTAACATCCAGAATCTACAATGAACTCAAAGAAATCAGTGAGAAAAATTCATAGAAACACACAAGATATCAAGAGTGAATCATGAAGAAACAGAAAATATGAATAGACCTTTAAGTAGTAAGGAGATTGTATTGGTAATCAAAAACCTCTCAACAAAGAAAACTCTGGACAATATTGCTTCACTGGTGCATTTGACCAAACATTTAGCGAGGATTTAACACCAAATCCTTCTCACATTCTGCTGAAATGTTGGAGAGAACACTTGTTAGCTTAATCTTTGAGGTCTGTATTACTCTAACACCAAAGCCAAAGACAGCTCAAGAAAGTACAAATCTGTACTTATAAATATTGATGCAAAAAAAAAGAGCTTCAACAGAACACTATGAAACAAAATTAGCAGCATAATAAAAGGAGTATACCCCATGACCAAGTGGGATTTACTCTCAGAATGCAAGGATAGTTCAACTATGAAAATAAATCTGACCAGGTGCAGTAGCTCATGCCTATAATCCCAGAATTTTGGGAGGCCAAGGTGGAAGGATCACTTGAGCCTAGGAATTCAAGACCAGCCTGGGCAACATAGTGAGACCTCATCTCTACAAAAAAATCAAAAAATGAGGCAGGAGAATTGCTTGAGCCCAGAAGGTTGAGGCTGCAGTGAGCTCTGATAGTGTGCCACTGTACTCTCACCTGGGTGATGGAAGTGAGACCCTATCCCCCAACCAAAAAATTCAATCAATCAATGTAAAACTCCATGTTAACAGAATGAAGGAAACAAATCCTATGAACATTTTAATTGATTCAGAAAAATATCATTTGACAAAATTCAACACTTGTTTGTGACCAAAACAAACTGAAAAACTGAAAAAAACTAGGATTGGAAGTAAACTTCCTTAACATAATAAAGGCCATATATGAAACCCCACAGCTAGCATTGCCTTCAATGTTGAATGACTGAAAGCTTTCCCCCCAAGATCAGATACAAGACAAGGTTGCCTTCTTTTACTATTTCTATTCAACATAGCATTGGAAGTCCTAGCCAGAGCAGGTAGGTAAGAAAAAGAAATAAAAACCATTCAAATTAGAAAGGAAGAAGTACAATTACCTGTTTGCAGATAAATGATCTTATAAATAGAAAACCCTAAAGACATACAACACATACGAGAACTGTCAGGACTAATAAATGACTTCTGAAAAGTTGCAGAATAGAAAATTAACATAGAAAAATCAGTTGCACTTCTATAATCTAACAATCAACAATCCAATGGGAAATTTTAAAAAATTATATTTACAATAGCAACAAATAGAATAAAATACTTAGGAATAAACTTAATCAAGGATGCAAAAGACTTGCACATTTAAACTACAAATTGTTGCCAGGCATGGTGGTGTGTGCCTGCAGTCCCAGCTACTCAGGGGCCAAGGTGAGAGGATCTCTTGAGCCCAGGAGTTTGAGACCAGCCTGGGCAACATAATGAGACTGTCTTTTAAAAAAACAGGTAAAATTATAAAAGATTGGTGAGAGAAATTTAAGAAGATACTAATAAATGGAAAGACATCTCATATTAATGGATTGGAAGACTTAATAAGACACTATTAATAAGACTTAATAAGATGCTATTACTACCCAAAATGACCTACAGATTCAATACAATCTCTATCAAAATCCTAGCAGTTTTTTTTGCAGAAATGGAAAAACTCATCTTAAAATGCATATGGAATTGTAAGGGACCTTGAATAGCTAAAACAATCTGGAAAAGAAGAACAATGTTGGAAGACTCACACTTCCTGATTTCAAAACATATTGCAAAGCTATAGTAGTCAAAACAGTATGGTATGGGCAAAAAGTCAGACATATAGACCAATGGAATAGAGAGTCCAGTAATCAGCCCTCAGATATATGGTCAAATGATTTTTGACAAGGGTGCCAAGACCATTCAATGGGAAAAGTAAAGTCTTTTCAACAAATAATGCTAGGAAAATTGGATATTCACACATAAAAGAATGAAGCTGGACCCTTACCTAACACCATAAACAAAAATTAACTCAAAATGGGTCAAAGACCTAAATGTAGGACCTAAACCTTTAAAACTCTTAGAAGAAAATGTTGGGCAAAAGCTATATAATATTGGGTTTGGCAGTGATTTCTTGGCTATAACACTGAAGGCACAGGCAAAAACATAAGAAATAGACAAATTGAGCCTTACAAAAAATTTTTAAAATTTGTTCATCAAAAGAAGCTATCAGTAGAATAACAGGAAATCTACAGAATGGGAGAAAATATTTGCAAATCATATACTTGAAAAGGGATTAGTATTCAAATGCACCAAGAACTCTTAAAATTCGATGACAGAAAGACAAAGAATTGAATTCAAAAATAGGCAAATAACATGAATAGACATTTTGCAAAGAAGATATACAAAAGACCAAGAAGCCCATGAAAAGATGCTCAACATCACTAACGTTAGGAAAATGCAAATCAAAACCACAATGAGATACCACTTCACACACATCAGGATGGCTACTATTAAAAAAACAGAGTATAACAAGTGTGGACAAGGATGTGGAGAAATTGGAATCCTTGTGCATTGCTGGTGGAGATAAAAATGGTGGCTGGGTGTGGTGGCTCATGCCTGTAATCACAGCAATTTGGGAGGCTGAGGTGGGCACATTGATTGAGCTTGGGATGTCAAGACCAGCCTGAGCAACATGGTGAAACCCCATCTCTACGAAAAATACAAGAATTAGCCAGGTATGGTGGTGTGTGTCTGTGGTCCCAGCTACTTGGGAGGCTGAGGTAGGAGGATCACTTGAGCCCAGGAGGGAAAAGTTGCAGTGAGCCGAGATTGTACCACTGCACTCCAGCCTGGATGTGAGACCCTGTCTCAAAAAAAAAAAAAAAAAGTACAGTTTCTGTCAAAAATAGTATGGCAGTTCCTCAAAAAAAATTAAAAATAGAATTACCATATGATACAGTGATTCCACTGCTGGGCATATACCAAAGAATTGAAAGCAGGGTCTGGAAGAGATATTTGTACATCCATGTTCATAGCAGCATTATTCACAATAGCTAAAATACGGAGGCAACCAAAGTATCTGTTGACAGACGAATGGATAAGCAAAGTGTGGTCTATCCAGATAATGCAATATTATTCAGCCTTAAAAAGAGGAAAATTCTGACACATTGCTACAACATGGATGAATCTTAGAAGACATTATTTTAAGTGACATAAGCCAGACACAAAGGACAAATACTGTATAATTTCACTTACATGAGGTATCTAGAGTAGGTAAATTCATAGAGGCAGAAAATGGAATAGCGATAACTAGGGACTTGGGGCAGAGGAGAATGGAGAAATATCATTTAATAGGTACAGTTTTAGTTTGAGATGACGGAAAATTCTGGAGGTGGACATTGGTGATATTTGCACAACAACATAAATGCACTTAGTGTTACTGAATTCTGCACTTACAAATGGTTGAAATGGTAATTTTTTTCTTTTTTTCTTTCTTAAAATGGTAAATTTTATGTTATATATATTCTACTACAACAACAAAAAATCATTTGCATTTTACAAGTTAAACCAATCCTTACAGAATTTAAAATTTCCTAAGGAATAACCAAACAAAAGCACATGCCTCTAGAACAGGGTTTCTCAGGCTCAGCGCTACTGATATTTTGAACCAGATAATTCTTTGTTGTGGACAGTGTCCTGTGTCTTATAGGGTATGTGGTAGCATCCCTGCTGTCTTTCCACTCAAGGTCAGTAGCAATCCCCTCCCCTGCTGTGACAACCAAAAATGTCTCTGGACATTGCCAAATGCTGCCCGGGGCACAAAATCAACACCAGTTGAGAACCACTAATAAGAGTTCTGGAAATCCCCACTCAGTCCCGAATCCTGACAGTTGTCTAGGCGCATCAGCTTGCAAGTCTATAGCCATAAATCCGTTCCTTGAGACATCAGCAGTTAGAAGTATCTGGTACAGTCCTTTCCACAGACACTCTGAGACAGTCCTTCTTTGTTGTAGATCTAAGTTTTAGAATCTGTAGCTTACAGCAGAGCCAGTCCATATCACAAAGCATCATTTTCCTTACCAGTGTCCATGAAATACTTTCTCAATTCACGTGAACTCATAGACAGACATATGAGCAAGGTTTTTACCCAATTCTTTGTTGTATCTCACATGGCAGAGAATAGATTCACATCAACCTGCTATATCACAAAACGGTTGGACCATAAAACTACATTCCTAATCATTGCTGCCACCATTGGGGAATAAATTCTTGGCCATGCGCAAATCTGAACTGGAAACAAATTTGTCTAAGGACCAGAAACAGAAGCAAAAGTAATGAGATAGGGTGGCAGCGGGGAGCGGGTGGTGAGATGCACAGAGAAACAGAGTCAAGGAAGATAAATTCTATTGGCATTTGAGACTCACTTCAGGAGCCAAGAAAAGGTGCTACTGGGCTTACCTGGCCAGGAAGTGCACTTTTTTGGTTAATTAAGTTTAATTGGTTCCGGAAGTTGAGTCCACTTGGACATCTCAATGAGATGTCCAAAACTGTCAAAGTATGTGCAATGAACTGAATTGCATATGTTGAAGCGCTAATCCAAAATTCTTATGTGGAAACCCTGACCTCCGATGTGACTATATATTTGGAGATGGGGCCTGTGAGGAGGTGTTAAAGTTGAATGAGGTCATGAGACTTAAGCCCTGATCTGATAGGGCTGATGCCCTCATAAGAAGAGGAAGAGACCCCAGAACTCTCTTTCAGCCATGTGAGGACACAGGGAGATAGGGGCTATCTACAAGCCAGGAAGAAAACTCTTTGCCAGAAACCAACGATGCTGGCACTTTGCTCTTGGACTTCACAGCCAGAACTGTGAGAAATAAATTTCTGTTGTTTAAGCCACCCAGTCTATGCTACTTTTTTATGGCAGCTCTAGCATACTAATGCAGTATAATTCCCCAAAAAGTTATCAACGTGACTTTCTTACAAACACAAATATATATATTTTTTTGAGATGGAGTTTCGCTCTTGTTGCCCAGGCTGGAGTGCAATGGTGTCATCTCAGCTCACCACAACCTCTGCCTACCAGGTTCAGGGGATTCTCCTGCCTCAGCCTCCCGAGTAGCTGGGATTACAGGTATGCACCACCACGCCTGGCTAATTTTGTATTTTTAGTAGAGACGGGGTTTCTCCATGTTGGTCAGGCTGGTCTCAAACTCCTGACCTCAGGTGATCTGCCCACCTCGGCCTCCCAAACTGCTGGGATTACAGGCGTGAGCCACCTTGCCTGGCCTGATTTATTTTAATCCATCAATGACGGGATCAGCATGATAACAAGCCTGGTTCTGTATTAGACTTTTTAAATGAGTGACTTATACCAGCTACATTCATTTCCTCACTATTCACACATTCCTTAGCTTCCCAGATTTCACGTTTACCCTCTCACTTTATTAAACCTCATTTTTTTATTTTTTATTTTTAGTTATTTTATTTGGAGACACAGTCTCACTCTGTCACTCAGGCTGGAGTGCAGTGGCACGATCTCGGCTCACTGCAACCTCTGCCTCCTGGGTTCAAGCCATTCTCATGTCTCAGCCTCCAGAGAAGCTGGGACTACAGGCATGCGCCAGTCATGATTGAATAATTTTTGTATTTTTTGGTAGAGATGAGGTTTCACCATGTTGGCCAGGCTGGTCTTGAACTCCTGACCTCAGGTGATTCACCCCCGTGGGCCTCCCAAAGTGCTGGGATTACAGGCATGAGCCACTGCGCCCAGCTAAAACCTCATTTTTTATACAGATGGGTCTTGCTGTGACACCCAGGTTGGAGTGCAGTGGTGTGATCATAGCTCACTGCAGCCTCGACATCCTGGGGTCAAACAATCCTCCCACCTCAACCTCCTGGGTAGCTGGGACTACAGGCATGCTCCACCATGCCTGGGTAATATCTTTTATTTTTTAAGAGACAGGGTCTTGTTACATTGCCCAGGCTGGTCTTGAACTCCTGGCCTCAAGTGGTCCTCCCGCCTTGGCCTCGTAAAGTAGTGGGATTATAGGCACAAGCCACCGTGGCTGGCAAAACCTCATTCTTGAAACTCACCAGCAAACTATTCTACTGTGGAACCCAAGTTTTCTTCATTCCTCACTATCCTAAATTACATAGTACTAGTGACAACTGTTCACCTGCAGTTTGAAGACCCTAAGCCAGTTCTCTGCTTGTGTTTCTGGATACATCTGTTCTTTGTCGTTCTTCCTTCGTATGTGGAGCCATCCTCAAAGCACTGGGGTCATCCTGCTTAACAATAAAAAGAGCTACCATTTATTGATTGCTTATTCAATGCAGACACAGTTCTCACTACTTCATAAGCTGCAATTTTATCTGGTCTTCACAGGAACTGTTATTATCTCTGTTTCATGCCTAGGGACACTGAAGCATAGAGAAGTTACCTGACCAAAGTCACGTAGTTAGTGGCAAAACCAAGATTCAAACTCAGGCAGTCTGGCTCTGCCTTGAGGCAGACTGCACAGTCTCCACCTTCTCTATTTTTTGCCTCGGAGCACCTGGCCAATTATCCCTTGGCCAACCTCACATGACTATTAACTCCAGAGTCAGCCATCTCTGAGCTCCAATTCCACCACTGCTAGCTGTGTAATCTTAATCGAGTTCTTTATTCTTTATTAGGTCTAGTCCTCAATTTCATCATCTGTAAAATGGGCACATAATAGATTCTATTTCTAATTCTCACAGAGTTGCTATGAGAATTAATTGAGCTGATATGAGTAAAATGCCTGACATTGAGAAGGCATTGGATGCTAGTACTATTAGTCATCTAATTACATGTTGTTTGTCTGTGGAACAGAGCACCTAGGTTCTTTTCCTGGGATCCATAAGCCAGCATGGGGGAGGGTTACAGGCAGGCAAATGTTTTGTGTGTACATTTATTTTTTCTGGGGAGAAAGTCCATAAGTTTGATCATATTCTCAAAAGAGTATATGACCCCCAAAAGTTGGGAACCACTGAGCTTTAAATGAGTCTAAAAGGGCCCCAGCACGGTGGCTCATGTCTGTAATCCCAGCACTTAGAGAGGCTGAGGAAGGCGGATCGCCTGAGGTCAGGAGTTCAAGACCAGCCTGGCCAACATGGCGAAACCTCGTCTCTATTAAAAATACAAAAATTAGCCCAGCATGTCAGCGTGAGCCTGTAATCCCAGCTACTTGGGAGGCTGAGGCAGGAGAATAGCTTGACCCAGGGAGACGGAGGTTGCAGTGAGTCGAGATCATGCCACTGCCCTCTGGCCTGGGTGACGGAGCAAGACTCCGTCTCAAAAATAAATAAATAAATACATAAATAAATAAACCTAAAGTTTGAGACCTGCGTCTTTTACATTTCCTGCCCTCAGCATAGCCAGGGATACAGCAAGCTTTCACTGATGTGCATGGAATTGAATCCTCACTGGAACGTAGCAGCTGGGTCAAGGCCGTGGACAGTAGGGTTCCTGACATTGTCACCTGTCTTCATTCCACACAAAGATGCCCACTGTGAAAAGTTTTCTGAAATCACTTCTTCAGTCCAATAACAACATTTCAAAGCTGAGTATTTCACGTGCTGCATTGGGAAAGGGTGCTGATTACATCCCTCAAACTGCACAACTGTGACCGTCACTGCTGGCTGATACTTCGCAGAAGGGCGCAGGGGGCAACTGTTGATGTGGCAGGGCTATGTTAGCATTCTTTACCTTACCTTCGCTTGAGGACTTAAGATAATAGCAGCTACCACAGAAATAATGGAAACAAAAATTCTTTTATTTTAATTTGTATCCGTTCTTACGGTTTCTTTATACTCCTCCTCAATTCAAAATGAATCTAAGCACATTTAGATATTGATTCCAATTAAGATATTTAATATGTCTTATCTTCTGTAAACTAGTCCATTTTGTGTTGATATAAAGGAATTCCAGAAATTGGGTAACTTATTTACAAAAAAAAAAAAGGAGGTTTTTTTGGCTCATAGTTCTGCAGGCTGTACAAGAAGCACAGTGCTGGCATCTGCTTCTGGGTGGGGAAGCCCAGGAAGCTCACAGCCATAGCAGAAGGGGAAAAGGCAACAGGTATGTCACATGGCAAGAAAGGGAGCAAGAGGGATGCCAAGATCTTTTAAACAGCCAGCTCCCACATGAGCTAATAGCATATTATTATGTCAGGACTTATCCGCTTGGAAGTGACAAAAAAAATTCAAACTAGCTTAAACAGAAAGGATATTTGTGGGCTCAGGCAGAGCTAGAGCCAGGGGTTCAACCAATGTCACTGGGACTCTCTTTCCTTCTCTTTGTCTTTGAGCTCTGCTTTCCTGCTGAAGGCTGGCCTCTTCTTCTCGCACTGGAAAAGGACTTCCTCCCTATAGCTGGAGAAAGTGCCACTTAATAGCCTCAAGCTTATATTGTCTGAGCCAAAGACCACCAGCAAAAGAGAACTTCTTGGTATTCCAATTATAGACAAAGATTCTTCCATCACATGCGCAGCTGTTGCCAGGGGCATAAGATGATCTGATTGGCCAAGCCCAGGTCACTTCCCTTTCCCTATAGATGGGGACAGAGTGGGAGGCTGGGGTTGACAGCCCCAGGAGAACCACAGGGGGACAGGGAAGAGCAGTGAGCAGATGAAGCAATACGTGTCCATTTATACATTTGCCTTTGTGTTAAAATAACAAGAACTTGATGAGAAAGACCAAACTGGACAGCACTCATGGGGTGGGAAGGACTCCTCTCTGGGACATAATTGACCATATGTAAGGTCTAGCTGTTAAAAAATCTACTATAGTCATAAGCATAACCTATAAGATCGTATTTCTAGAACAGAGGAGGTAAGCCTCCCTCCAGAGGAGCCCTTGTTCATACAGTACTGAAGGACAGCCACAATGGACGAGGGTGTCAATTTGTTCTGCAGATGAGATGAGGACCGATGAGCAAAGATTAAAAGACAGAACAGTGGCAAATGTTACTGGCTTGGGACTGGTTTCTTAAGCTAGAGGGAACTTTTAGGAATGACCTAAGGCAGCGGTCCCCAACCTTGTTGGCACCAAGGACTAGTTTCGTGGAAGACAATTTTTCTACAGATGTGGGGCAGCAAGGCAGCGTGGTTTAGTGATGAAACTGTTCCACCTTAGATCATCAGGCATTAGACAGATTCTCATAAGGAGTGCGCAACTTAGATCCCTCGCATGCACAGTTCATAAAAGGGTTCGCACTCCTATGAGAATCTAATCCTGCTGCTGATCTGACAGGAGGCTGAGCTCAGGTGGTAATTGTTCACATGCCGCTCACCTCTTGCAATGCGGCTCAGAACCTAACAGGCCATAGATGGTACCAGAACCCCTGGCCTAAGAGGCTCACAGAAAAAATGGAAAGGGTGGAAATTTAAGAGAAACCAAGGGGACTCCAGAAACCAGGCTGCAAGATCCAGGCATAGGCAGGAGAGGGAGGATCTGTGCCCTCAATTTTGGCAGAGGAAGCCCTGGATGGGAGGCAGCCCTGGGCGAGGAGGGGCATCTTCCTCTGATGGAGATTGGGGAGCCAATAGAAAGGAAGATCTGGCCAGGCACAGTGGCTCATGCTGTAATCCCAGCACTTTGAGAGGCCGAGGCAGATGGATCACCTGAGGTCAGGAGTTCAAGACCAGCGTGGCCAACATGGTGAAACTCTGTCTCTACTAAAAATACAAAATCTAGCCGGGCATGGTGGCAGGTGCCTGTAGTCCCAGCTACTCAGGAGGCTGAGGCAGGGGAATAGCTTGAACTCAGGAAGGGGAGTTGCAGTGAGCCAAGATCGCGCCACTGCACTCCAGCCTGGGCGACAGAGTGAGACTCCATCTCCAAAAAAAAAGGGCCTGGAGCTGCACTCCTGAAAGATAAACAATAGATATTTGCCACACAGGCATACAGATTCCACATGAGAAAATCTGCTGGCGACCGAGTCTGGCCAGGAGCAGAACAGGCAGCCTCACAGGGACATGAAGGCTGTCCACCTCTCGGGGGGTGTGGCTGAACCTCTTGGAGCCCTTCCACCCTAAGCCTCTGGCACTATCACTCCCTCAGCTTGCCAGCCCATCCTATCTCAATAATTTTCTTCTTCTGAGCCAGGGGAGGCCATCCTCCGAGGGCTTCCTCAACTTCCCTCTTCCTTGCTTCTGAGAAAAAGCTGATCTTCCAACTCACATGCTGTGTACCCACTCCTCCTGACTCCTCCCCAATTCACGTGCTCTGTACCCACTCCTCCCACACAGTGCTCCTTCCATCCACTGCCCTCTCCTTCCCATTTGTCTCTGGATGGTGCTGTTCTCTCTCCCTCTCTCTCCCCCCGTCCCCAGCCCCCGACTGCCCCTTCCAAATACAAACATACTCAGGAGACATCCGCTATCTACTTGACACTTTTTATGAATTCCCATGCCAGTGTAGAACCTAGAAAAGCCAGATATTTGCAAGCCTCTCTTGTAAATAGGGTGCAGTCGCTCAGGTTAGAGTGCAGTGGTATGATCTCAGCTTACCTCTGCCTCTCAGGTTCAAGTAATTCTCCTGTCAGCCTCCGGAGTAGCTGGGACTACAAGCATGCACCACCAAGTCCAGCTAATTTTTGTATTTTTAGTAAAAATGAGGTTTCGCCATGTTGGCCAGGTTGGTCTTGAACTCCTGACCTCAGGTGATCCGCCTGCCTTGGCCTCCCAGAGTGCCCTTATATTTGTGTGTGTGTGTGTGTGTGTGTGTTGTGTTGAAGATTGTAAAATATGCCCGCAAATTCCTTCACCCGGTATGCAATCCCTTTTGGAATGTGAATTTGCTGCTCCTCTTATGCAGAAGGGAAGTTCATTTCTCTCCCTTGACTCTTAGCCTTGTGATTTCTTTGAACGTGAGAATGCAGCAGGAGATGTATATGACCTTGAGATGCCAGTCCAGGCTTCTGGAGGATGTGACCAAGACGGCCCAGCCCACAGCCCACCCCACTGCCAGTTATGTAAGGGAGGTGTACTAGTTTGTTTTGTGCTGTTATAAAGGAATACCGGAGGCTGGGTAATTTATAAATAAAACAGGTTTATTTGGCTCATGGTTCTGCAGGCTATACAGGAAGCACAGTGTCAGCATCTGCTTCTGGTGAGGCCTCAGGGAGCTTCCAATCATGGTGGAAGGGGAAGGGGAGCTGTCATGTCACATGGAGAGAGAAAGGGAGTGAGAGAGAGAGAGGAGGACATGCCAGGCTCTTTTTGAACAACAAGCTCTCATGCAAACTAAAAGAGTGAGAACTCACTCGTTACTGAAGAATGGCACCAAGCCATGCATGAGGGATCTGCCCCCATGACCCACACACTTCCCACTAGGCCCCACCTCCAACATTGGGGATCAATTTCAACTTCAGATTTGGAGGAATTATCCCAACTATATCAGGAGGTCATCTTGAAACTTCCAGCCCTGCTGTCTCTCCATCAGAATCCAACTGCGGAGGAACTGCCCAGCTAACCCTCAGAATCATAAGAAATAATAAATCTTAGCTGTTTTAAACCACTGAGTTTTGGAGTGAATTATGCAGCAAAAGCTGAAACCGATGGTGTCCTGCATGTCCCATAGAACTACATATAACCATTTCCCCACCTTATTCAATCTTTATTAAGGCTACTTTGGTTGCAAACATCAGAAACCAACCCCAGCCAGCTTAAACAAAAGGAAAGTGCATTAGAATGTCCCTAATGTAAGTCAAGGAACAGAAAATAAAGTTGGGAAGGGGAGAAATCATGGCGTCCGCGGACTCATTAGCAGCAGGGTATCCTGGAGTTTCCGTCCAGAAAACTGCCATTAACACAATCCCGTGCTAATGATTGGACTAGTAACTTCAAGTTTTCAGAGCAGACGGTCTGACCCGCCCCATTTGGGCCAGTAGCCGCCTCTGAATCATTTAGCTATGATGAGGTGGGCGGTGGTGGTGGGAGGCAGGATGCGGACACGTAGAAAGTAGGTGAATTCGTGGGAATCCTGACGTGGAAGCCGTGAGCGCTACTCACGGCCTGGGCTTGCTTTTTAACTGCTATATATATATTTAGATTTTCCAAAAGTTTTTTCCTTTCAAATCTTTTTGCAGCTACTGTATCAAGGCTCTTTTTTTAAGAAAGGGAAAATAGTGCAGGACCACTTCTGAAACTGTAACAAATGGGGCAACGTTGTATTCTTCTGTACAATGTAACTGGATCTGTGAAGGTTTTTATTTTTTATTTTTTATTTTTTTTGAGACGGAGTCTTGCTCTGTCGCCCAGGCTGGAGTGCAGTGGCGCAATCTAGGCTCACTGCAAGCTCCGCCTCCCGGGTTCACGCCATTCTCCTGCCTCAGGCTCCCGAGTAGCTGGGACTACAGCCGTTCACCACCACGCCGGGCTAATTCTTTTTATTTTTATTTTTTTAGTAGAGATGGGGTTTCACTGTGTTAGCCAGGATGGTCTCGATCTCCTGACCTCGTGAGCCACCCGCCTCGGCCTCCCAAAATGCTGGGATTACAGGCGTGAGCCACAGCGCTCAGCCGGATCTGTGGAGGTTTTATGAGCAAAAAGGGAAAACAGTGCGGGGCCACTTTTGAAACTGTAACAAATGGGGCAACGTTGTATACTTCTGCACAAAGTAACTGGATCTGTGAAGGTTTTATGTGTAAAAAGGGAAAAGAGTGTGGGGCCACTTTTGAAACTGTAACAAATGGGACAACTTTGTATACTTCTGCACAACGTAAGTTAATCTGTCAAGCTTTTATGTGCAAACGAATCTCTGAGCGAGTGAAATGGTTTTGATCAAAATCTAAAAGAATTTGGGGAGTGTAGATATAAAAGGGAGTTAAAGCCAGAGTAACAGGTGTTGTGAACACAGAGAGGAAGAACCGGTAGGTTTCGAGTGAGGACAGAGAGTGTCGCCCCCGGCCGCAGCCTGGGGGGGCTGCATATCTGGAGGGATCATCTCTTGCCCCTAACTGACGACTCCTGCAGAGTGACGCGTGCCTGGGACAGCGTCTGCTGGGACCAGGGTGGACGGGCACCTCAAATAAGTGGGCCAGGGACCTGGGCCTGGGCCCCTCGGACTGGCAGGCACGCCCGCACCCCCGCGCCTCGCGCTCTCTACGGAAGCAGCCGCCCCCACGGAGCGGGCGGAGGCCCGGGGGCCGGGAGCGCGCGTGGAGGCTCCGGGACTGAGGCGGCGCCACCGCCTCCCGCCTGCAGCTGGAGCGCGGGCCGCCGCGGCGACATCTTGCTCAGGAGGAAAGCGCGCGGGAGAGCGAGCTGCGCTTTAGCTGCTGCGCCACGCGCGCCTCGGGCCTGGGCGCAGAGGATCGGCCGGGCGCGGCGGGAAGGAGGTAAGGCAGCCCCGCGGGACCGCACGCCTAGCTCAGGGGACGCCTCCGGAGACCCCAGGACCACCCGATCACGGGCCCCGCCGCTCCCCTCCCTCGCTCCTCCTCCCGCTCAGCCCCAGTCTCCTGCGGTCCCCTCGCCCCAGCCCGCAGCCTCCCTGCCTTCCGCCCACTGAGCAGCCCTCCTCGGCGGCGCGCCCCTCGACCCCAGCAGCCCCGGTCCCCGCCTCTGCTCTTGGTCCCGGCCGCCGGGTGAGGCCGCCCCCGCCCCGCCCCCTCCCCGCCCTCGCCGGGACCCGCCCCCTGCTCCCGTCCGGGCGGGGCTCCGGGTTTAAACGTCGCGGCGGGCAGGGCCGGCGGAGGGGCGGGGCGGCCTCTGTGTCGTGTACCGGGTCCCGTAGGCTGCGGGCAGCGAGGAGCGGCTGGCGCTCGAGGCGGCGGACGGCACCATGTCCCCGGGGAGCGGGGTGAAGAGCGAGTACATGAAGCGCTACCAGGAGCCGCGCTGGGAGGAGTACGGGCCGTGCTACCGCGAGCTGCTGCACTACCGCCTAGGCCGCCGGCTGCTGGAGCAGGCGCACGCGCCCTGGCTCTGGGACGACTGGGGCCCGGCCGGCTCCTCGGAGGACTCGGCGTCGTCAGAGTCGTCGGGCGCCGGGGGCCCCGCACCCCGGTGCGCCCCGCCCTCGCCCCCGCCGCCCGTAGAGCCGGCGACCCAGGAGGAGGCGGAACGGCGGGCGCGCGGGGCCCCGGAGGAGCAGGACGCGGAGGCCGGGGACGCGGAGGCCGAGGACGCGGAGGACGCGGCTCTGCCAGGTACCCGGCCCGGAGGGGAGCGCGAGGGGCCTGCACGCAGGGACGGTTTGCTCTAAGCTCTGAGCAGCTGATCTCTTATTTCTTGCGCCACTCGGGGCTGGCTCTTCCTTTTTTTTTTTTCGGTTGACAGAATCCGTCTCTCTTGACAAAATAGGGAAGGTGGCAGCCTTTGCCACCCTTTATTTCCTTAATTAGGTGGCTTTCGGTCGAGCCAGCGGTGAACTCAATTGAAGCGCCGCTGGCTGAGTCTGGGGTCTTTCCTCGCGGGCCTCTGCGGCTTGGCAAACCTCTGAATCCCATCTTATTTCTTGGCGAACCACTGAGTCCCATCTGCTTATTTCTAGGCGCCCATTTTTGATCAGAGGAGCCCCAGCTTTAATCAGATTCTCAAAGGTAACCCAAAAGGTTAAGAACCACAGAGCTAAGCTTTGTCTGATGAATGGGGCCATTGTTTTCCGTATTAACTCCCCGACCTCGCTACGCTGTCCCTAAAGAATATTTTGCATTTGTTTACGTGGAGTGTTGAATAACTTGGCTGTGAGAGCATCTTTATAAGTGCTAGGGCCTCTCCCCTTCCGTCCCTCCCCATCCTCCCTCGCCTGTCCAGATCCGAAAGCGCCGGTGGCGCTGCGCGTGTTTTCAAGGCATGGCCCCTTCACCTTCTTTCCTGCCCAGAGGCTTGCAGGGCTGGGGACCCAGTTGAACGCCTCAGTACAGCCTGGAGTAACCAATGGTTCCTTCCAGATCACTGGATTTTAAAAAGGCTCGAGTGAGGAAAACATGGAAAATGTATTGGGAGCCTGTTAGACATTCAGTCACTGATCTGGGAATATGTATGTTGTCATTTAATATTCAAAACAATCCCAAAAGAGACCATGTTGTAATCTTTTTTTTTTTTTTTTTTTGAGACGGAGTCTCGCTCTGTGGCCCAGGCTGGAGCGCAGTGGCGCGATCTCGGCTCACTGCAACCTCTGCCTCCCGGATTCACGTCATTCTCCTGCCTCAGCCTCCCGAGTAGCTGGGATTACAGGCACGCGCCACCACGCCCGGCTAATTTTTGTATTTTTAGTGGAGACGGGGTTTCACCATGTTGGTCAGGCTGGTCTCAAACTCCTCACCTCGTGATCCGCCCGCCTCGGCCTCCCAAAGTGTTGGGATTACAGGAGTGAGCCACCATGCCCGGCCCTAATCTCAGTTTTATAGATGAAAAAACGGAAGCTCAGGATCAGTGACTTTATTCATTTATGTGTTTATTTTTGTTTACCCGATTGCAAGCCAATCAGACTCTTCCTGGCTTCTCTGTGAGAGGCTGAGGAGGAGATGAAATTTCGGCTATGAGCCGGGTTGCTTTGCTCTTGGTTTTACCATCTTCAGCTATTTTCAGCTCATCATCGGAGGCAGGGCTGCCTCCTCCCATCATGATGTTACTTGTGAATCCCCACAAATCCTGATGCTTCAGTGATCACTGCTAGAAATGCAAATAACAGAAGGTGGAGGGGGTAGGGAACATGCCTTCCAGATTATTCCTGTGGGTACTGATCTGCTAGCTAAATTGAGATGTACTTTATCAGGCTAAATGGCTTTTCTCTCCCCGATCTTTTATTGTTTGTGATGGAGTTGTCAAATATTTGCATGCAATATAAATACAATTTTTAGGCAGCGTTGTGATATGGATGGTGCCTGTATTTACCAGCTCAGGTAAGCTCTGAGTTCATGATTATTTTGGTTTCCTTAAATATAGCGTCCTCTCAGTTATTTCTTCCCTGCTAACGTTTCTGGTTTAGGCATCAGGAAGAAGAAAGGATGTTTTCTGCTTTCAGGACTCAATCGCAGCATCTTTTGTTTTGCTCCTACCCGTAAGGCCCTCTTGACTCCTGTGTTGCTTGCACAAGATTAAATATCCTGGTTTTTAAGTGGATGGTTTTAAATACTAGTGCAATGAGCACTCTTTTGAGTTTCTATAAAATATAAAATTTTTTACTTTCCCTGAAGCCATAGATGCACATAGAATCACGTAGTTCTGTCTGACTTATTACAAAAGCACATCAGCCCTATGCCATACATAACACCCTGGTTTTTCCTTTGGTATTTATTTCTGTATCTCCAAGTAACATGGCTTTTATTGACATGTGATTGTTTTTTTTCAGTTTTTAACATTATCTATTGACTTTAATTCTTTTTTACTGCTCTCCTCACCCACACACACACGGCCCATCTCCACACCTGCACAATACAGTCCTCATAGAGTTTGTTGGATTCATAATTAGTATGTACCGTATTGTGCCCATGGAAAAAGTTACTCAAAGCTGACCCATACTATTTCCCATGATTCCCTTTTTTCTTTCACAATACAACCAACACATCAGGTTCACTATCACTCTTGTCATCTTAAGATGCCTCTCCCAGGGCCCCTGACCTACTTCTGTCTGGGCTGGCTGCTGCTCCTGTGGGCTGCTGCCTGGCTGGCATCTTGGGAGGGCCCTTGGCCATCCTCCTAGGACCTTTCTTGGCTTCTCTCTTGGGTTTGAGTCTCTGTCGTGTGCCTTTCATGTCATTTTCTTTCTTGGTTTACCCCTTCTTGGTGGAGCACATCTTCTAGTAGATTCCCAAGAAAGGATGGTTCAGAGGTTAGCTTTCTTTGAATGCCAAGAGATAGCTTTATTCTACCCTTACAATTTGGTGAGTGTGGCTGGGCATGGAATTCTAGGTTGGAACAGTTGTCCGTAGAAACTCTGGGGGCATTCCTCCTTATGTGTTATGACTGCTGATGTTACAGCCTGCCTCGTTATGATTCTTGATCTTGATCTTTTGTAGGTAATGTGTTGCCCTCAGGAAGCTTTCACGGTCTTCTCTTTGGCCTTTATGTTCTGACATTTTTCCTTGATCTAGATCTGTTTTCCTTTGCTTTGCTGGGCACTTGGCAGGTCTTTATAGACAAACTCATGTTTTTAATTCCCGGAAGTTTTCTGGAATTATTTTCTTATTTCTGTTTTTTTTTTTTTTCCCATTTCTTTTTTTTCTGAAGTCCTTAGTTGGATATTAGACTTTATCATTTTATCCTCTAATTTTCTAAGTTTTTTCTTGACAGATTTTCATCTTTTATTGTTTTGTTTTCTGGGTGATACTCTCAGCTGTATCTTCTAAATCTCTTATTACATTTTCCATTTGAGGGATCCTATTTTTCTTTTAAATGTAAGAGCTCTTGAATTGTTTTCTGGGCTGCCATTTATTCCCTCCCTTACCTCCCTCCTTTCCGTCCCTTTTTATTTCTTTTTACAACACAGTATCTGGTTCCTGATTGATGCATGTAGGGTTTTATCTTACTGAGGATATATATTAGAATTTTTCGTTTGTTTTCTTCTCTTTCTGTGTTTCTTCAGCACAATCTTTCACTTCTGCCTCTTTGTTTCTTTTTGCTGGTAATTCTCTATTTTCATGTTAGGCACTTTTCTCAAATGTCTAATGATCCTTCGTTTCTCATTCTTATTTAAGGGATGGATACTAAAAAGCTGTTAGGAAATTCTGTGTGTGTGTGTGTGTGTGTGTGTGTGTGTGTGTGTTGGGGTTTGGGGGTGGAAGTGCTTGTGAACCGTGAGATTCTTTTCCTCCCATAGCCAATATGCTATGAAGAGTGGTCTAGACTGTCTCCGATTCCTTACTTCATAGTCACGTTTTCTTTTTAGGTTAGATTTTATTTTTAGCAAAGTTTACATGTGCAGTAATTTAAAACATTTTGCTTAAAATGAAAAAAACATGATCCTGCCCCATTTCCCACCCATGCCCCTTGCTCCTTTCACTCAGTTTCGCTTTCCTTTCAGCATTGGCCACCCTCTTTTTATTTAATCTTATCTGTTGGCTTTTTGATTGTGAACATTATCTACTGACTTCCCATTATGGGAGATGAAGATTTAGCTCAGGATCTTAGCTCTGCCTTCCCTATTCTACCCCCAGACACATACCAACACCCATTTCCTCTTCTCCATATCCCCACAATATTAACTATATGATTGCTTTGTTTAATCTCTGTTCTGTGTTTGAATTATGGCTGTGTAGATATTTGCAGGTGAGCCATGTAATATATTCTGATTACATTTTTTTGTTAAAATTTATGGTTTTCCTGAAATTGATAATTGTTCCACTTTTTTGTTTGCTTATTTTGTTTTTGTTTTTTGCTTCTACTCCAGTAATAGGTTTATTAAAAAATAAGCTACCTATCACTGCCTATCACAGTTTCTTATTTCTTATTTATTTTAGCTATCACTAATGCCTGAAATGGCCTGATAGTACTATGAAACTTGCCATTTGTCAGACATATTAGGTATTCTATTCATCTGATTTTTTTTTTCCCTTGGAGACACGCACACACACATATATATATACATATATATATATGTATGTGTATATATATATATATATATATTTTTTTTTGAGCCTTTGATCTTGTTCCAGTCTAGATTTTATGCTGTCCAGCCTTGGCACAGCTGCTGAACTGGGCTTTCTTTATTATTTCCCTCCTTTGTGTGATCCCCTGCCTTGCACATCTCAAGTCTTCCTTTTGCTTGGCCTGTTCCTTCCTTTTGATGGAACACATCCTCTATAGATCCTGTAAAATATTGCGTGGGAATTAGAAATTTTGTAACCTTGCATATCTGAAAATGCCTTTATTATATCCAGGATTGATATTTTGGCAAGGTAGATTAGTCTAGATTGGAAACCTCAGCATTTGAGGCATTATGATAACACTGAATCCTAGCTTCAGGTCATAGTGTTGAGAAGGACCATGCCATTCTGACACCTGCTTTGTGTGTGTGACCCCCCTATGTTTGTTTTTGTTGTTTTGTTGGAAACTTTTAGGAGATTCTTTATATCTTTTTAGGAGGTGTTCTGAAATTTTGTGGTGTGCCTGTGTGTGTCTTTTTTCATTCATTTGGCTGGCCTTTTTCATTCTGGAAGGTTCTTTCAGTTCAGTGATATTTCCTATTTTTCTGTTTAAAAATAATTTTCTCTGCTCCATATGCTTTATTTTCTCTTTCTATAATTATCCTTAGTTGGATGGTGTGCCTCCTGGATCAGTCCCCTAACATTTTTACTTAAAAATGTTTCTACAATGGAATTTGGACTTTTTGGTTCTATTTTCTGGGAGAACCCTTCAATGTTATTTCCCAACATTTCTATTGAAATTTTTAATTCTCACCTTAGCTTTAAATTCCCAAGAGATCATCTATTTTTGGTCCATAATGTTCTTTACATTAAAAAAAATAGCATTCTGTTTTCAGATTTCTTTTAACCTACAAAGAAAAAAAGAAAAGAAAAGAAAAAGGCCAGAAATATCTTTTCAGAGCTGTCTTCCATTCCCTGCCTTGCCTTTTTCTGCATAATTTTGGTCTCTTCCTTACTAATAGAGGATGTACTCAGATGTTTGCTCTTAGCCTGTCTGCTCATATTTAAGAGTAAGGCCTGGAAGAGCTTTTTAGGAGGTCTGTGCACGGGGGATGCCTGTTTTCTGTAATTGGCTGAGGACCCAGCTGTTCCTCTGGGGACTGCAAACATGTATACCTGCCAGCGTCTCTTGAGTGAGCTGCCCAGACAGTGCATCTGCAGTCTCCTGTCTCATGGGGAATAAGCCTGGCACCAGCATCCTGGGAACAGAGGTGGAGGAAGGTGCCGAGGAGGGGTCTCCTTTACCATGAGGCCTTTCACCTAATTCTGTTTTCAGGAAGCTGTTTCCCTTGGTTTCTCCTGTCCCTAGGGTCATCTGAAGTCCAAGCCTCCCCTGCTTCTGCCGCTCAAGACTGAAATCCACAGACCTTCTGGGTAGGAGAGGAGTGACCACCTGGCATATGAGCTAGGGGAAAGAATATAGAAGTGTCAATTGCTGTGTAACAAAATTACCTTGAAAATTAGTAGCTTAAAACTAGTAAAAACAGTTGTCCCTTGGTATCTGGGAGAGATTGCATCCGAGATACCCCCATGGATACCAAAATCCGTGGATATTCAAGTCCCTATATAAAATGGTGTAGTATTTGCATATAACCTGTGCACATCCCTCGGATACTTTAAATCATCTCTAGATTACTTATAATACCTAATACAATTAAATACTATGTAAATAGTTTTTCTACTATATTTTTAATTTGTATTACTTTTTATTGTTGTATTATTTTTTATTTATTTTTCCCGAATATTTTCAATTCATGGTTGAGTGAGCCTGCAGATGCAGAACCCCTGGATACGGAGGCCCCCAGCCTGCTGTCCTCCTTTGCTGCTGCTCTGGTTTCCTGGGCTGGAAGTTGGCCCTGGGCAGTGAGATACCTTGTCTGCAGCCTGTACTGGAAGGCTCCAGGCTGGAGGGACCCGGCTGGGCTGTTGCTGGGACCCTCACATGCATGACCTCTTCCTGTGCCTGGCCTTCCTCAGAACACACTAGCTGACCTGTAAGGACAGCGTCCGGAGACAGACCCAGGTTGATGCTGCGTTGCTTTTTCTCTTTTATCCTCAGGAGCTCTGCAGGCCCTTTCTCACCCCATTTTACCTTCACTGGGGAAGTTATTACTTGGTGCAATTATTTTGACACCAACCTAATATAAAAGTCTGCCCAGGTTCAAGGGGAGGACCCGTGGATCCCAACTCTCAACAGAGCACGTCCATATTATAGTCAGAAGAGCACGAGGGCTGGGGTGCTGATTGATGCTGAACTTTTGGAAAAGAGAATCCACTTCACTAGCCTTCTGACGAAGCTGGCACCTCATACAACTCTTTCATTTTTTTTTTCTTTCTTTTGAGACAGGGTCTCAGTCTGTTGCCTAGGCTAGAGTGCAATGGCATGATCTAAGCTCTCTGTAGCATTGACCTCCTGGGTTCAAGCAATCCTCCAGCCTCAGCCTCGTGAGTAGCTGGGACCACAGGTGTGCGTCATTATACCTGGCTATTTTTTTATTTTTAATTTTTATTAGAGATGAGGTCTTGCTATGTTGCCTAGCTGGTCTTAAACTCCTGAGCTCAAGCAATCCTCCCGCCTTGTCCTCCCAAAGTGCTGGGATGATAGACGTGAGCCACCACATCTGGCTCATGTGATTCTTTCTAGGGCTCAGCTTCTGTCCTGGAGGCCTTTCCCCTCTGGCAGTTAGGATTCATCCTACTCAGTTCTGTGAGGCCATTTTTACCTCTTCAGTTGCTTTTCTTTTCCTCCAAATTTTATTGATGCCTTTTGCCTGATGTCATCACCTCCCTTGCTCTCTGTCCTTGTGGCTTTATACCTTTTTTTCCTTCCTTTAGTAGGATTTGGAGAGGAAGAGACTATAAGCTTTAAGGAACTATAAGGCACAGGTTTTTAGTGCATATTTAACCTGAACCCTCCAATTTGCTATATTTTTTTAACTGATTTTTATTTTTACTTTCTTCTCTGTTTCTTGATCAGACTTGCCAGAGGTTTGTGAATTTGTTTAGTTTTTCCCCACATTAAAGATTTGTGGTTTCTCTTTATTGTATATTTTCATTAATTTATTATTTTTTCCTTACTTTAATTTTCTTTGGGTTTATTTTGCTTTTTTCTAACTTTTTGAGATGGATGCTTATCATTGATTTTTTTGCCCCCTGCCTTTCTTTTTTGATATGTTCATTTCAGGCTATAAATTTCCCTCTGATAACTGCTTTAGCTGCATCACGCATGTTTTGCCATGTAACATTTTTATTCAAACTCATTTTCAAATTTTCATTATGATTTTTTAAAATAGTCACAAAAATCATAAAATTTAACATTTATGTATAGTATCCACGTAAGGAAATATTTATTTTTTAAAGAAAACATATATTCCAGCCTGGTCAACATGGCAAAACCCCATCTCTACTAAAAATACAAAAATTAGGTGGGTGTGGTGGCGTGCGCCTGTAATCCCAGCTATTTGGGTGGCTGAGGCACAAGAACCACCTGAACCCAGGAGGTGGAGGTCACAGTGAGCTGAGATCGTGCCATTGCACTCCAGCCTGGGTGACAGAGTGAGACTGTTTCTCAAAACAAACAAACAAACAAAAAAACCTAATGCAAACGTTATGCTCAATGAGGAAACTGGAAACATTCCTAATAATATCAGAATTAAGAAAGGAATGCCCTCTATTACCACTACTTGGAATTTTGGAAAATGGTGCTGAAATACATAAAATACACGTTACAATTTTAACCATTTTATTATTTATTTGTTAATTATTATTATTATTTTTTGAGATGGAATCTCACTCTGTCACTCAGGCTGGAGTGCAGTGGCACCATCTTGGCTCATTGCAACCTCTGCCTCCCAGGTTCAAGTGATCCTCCCACCCCAGCCTCCTGAGTAGCTGGGCCCACAGGCATACACAACCATGCCTGGCTAATTTTTTGTATTTTTAGTAGAGACGAGGTTTCCTCATGTTGCCCAGGTTGGTCTTGAACTCCTGAGTTCAGGCTATGCACCCGCCTCAGCTTCCCAAAGTGCTGGGATTACAGGCTTGAGCCACTGCGCCTGGCCTTCTTTAACTGATTTAAAGTGTCCAGTTTGGCTGGGAGCATTTCTAAATAAATAAATAAATGAAGTGTACAGGTCAGTGGCATTAAGTACCTTCACATTTTTGTGCAACCCTGTTTTCACTTTGACCTATAGGTTATTTAGAAATTTTTTTTTTTTTTTTTTTTTTCGATGGAGTCTCGCTCTGTCGCCCAGGCTGGAGTGCAGTGGCGCGATCTCGGCTCACTGCAAGCTCCGCCTCCCGGGTTCACGCCATTCTCCTGCCTCTGCCTCCGGAGTAGCTGGGACTACAGGCACCTGACACCACGCCCGGCTAATTTTTTTGTATTTTTAGTAGAGACGGGGTTTCACCGTGTTACCCAGGATGGTCTCTATCTCCTGACCTCGTGATCTGCCCGCCTTGGCCTCCCAAAGTGCTGGGATTATAGGCGTGAGCCACCGCGCCCGGCCTAGAAATGTTTTTAAGTTTCAAAACTGGGAGGGATTTTTTGAAGTTTTTTTGTTGTATCTAGTTTAATTACATTGTGGTTAGAGAACACATTCTATATAATTTCAATTTTGTAAATATCTTAAGATTTCTTTATGGCCTTGGATATGCAGATTCTTATAAATGTTCCATATATGATTGATAAAAATTTACATTCTGCAGTTGTTGGGTTCAGTGTTCTATATATATCCATTAGGTCAAGTTTATTAATTCTGTTTAAATACATTTGAAAAATCAGATGTTCAGTACAGCTCTCTCTGTGATGATGGGCGTGTTCTCCATTTGCGCTGTCTGCCAGGGTAGCCACTAGCCACATGTGGGTATTGAGCACTTGAACGATAACTAGTGTAACTTGAGGAACTGAATCTTTAATTTTATTTACTTTTAATTAATTAATTAAAATTTATATTTAGTAACCACGTGTGGTTCATGGCTATTGTATTGGACTGGCCAGTTCTAAATTGAGACTGAATTTATTTTTATTTGAATGTTCTGCCAATTACTAAGAAAGGGGCATTGTAATCTTCCACCATAACTGGTGGATAATGCTGTTTTTGCTTGAAGAAGTCTTTATTTTAAACTATTTTTTCAAACAGGATTTTAGAAACATACACTTATTGTTTGGAAAAAACTCTCAAACTCTTTCCTCTGTTGTCACACAACAACAATCAACACAGACTTCTGAAATAGCCCCAAAATATGTGGGGCTATTTTCCCACCAGCAAACAAGCAATCAGTTCCGACACTGTCTGCCTGGAGATAGCATCAGGTCCCACAGGTTGAGGGCTCAGTCTCACAGACTGCCCCCTCCTTCCCACCAGTCGAAAGTCGAGGCCTTGGGAACTTCTGGCTGACCAACTTCAAACTGGGGTTCCCATTATCCCCGTTTAGGTTTGATTAATTTGCTGGAGTGGCTCATAGAACTCAGGGAAACACTTAATGTTTGCCAGTTTATTATAAAGGATACTAGAGGCCGGGCGCAGTGGCTCACGCCTGTAATCCCAGCACTTTGGGAGGCCGAGGCGGGTGGATCACCTGAAGTCAGGAGTTCAAGACCAGTCTGGTCAACATGATGAAACCCCGTCTCTACTAAAAATACAAAAATTAGCCGGGTGTTGTGGCCCACGCCTGTAATCCCAGCTATTTGGGAGGCTGAGGTGAGAGAATTGCTTGAGCCCAGCACACACCTGTAATCCCAGCTATTCGGGAGGCAGAGGTTGCAGTGAGCTGAGATCGCGCCATTGCACTCCAGCCTGGGCAACAGAGCAACATTCTGTCTCAAAATAATAATAATAATAATAATAATAATAATAATAATAATAATAAAAGGATATTAGAAAGGACACAGATGAAGAGATGAACAGGGTGAGATATGGGGAAAGGGGTGAGAAGCTTCCATGCTGTCTCGCCGGCCTCCAGGAACCTCCTGAGCTTAGCTACAATTGGAAGGTGTGGAAGATTAGAGTCCTGCCTAGTGGCAGGGGAAAGGAGAGCAGGAGAGATTCGGTTTCTGGGGGCCTGCCCCTGAGGTTTAACACACCCAACATTATAACAAAAGACTGGAACAGGGGCTATGGGAGTTAGGAGCCACGAACTATGGACAAAAACGAACACACACAGAGACACACACATGTATATAATACCACACTTATATACACTTCTCTTGTGCCAGCCACTATTTCAAGAGTTTTACAAAAGAGTTTTATAAATATTAATGTTACGGTGATGAGTTTTACCTTTTCTGTATTTTCCATCTTTTCTCTCCTCCTGTTGCAGATAATTCTTCTGTCTTTTTCTATAAGCACAGCTATTTTGTAGTCTGAATAAGACTCCTTGGATTTCAGGCCTTTTGCTTCTCCCGGTCCCCCTTGTTGCCTACCCTCCTGTGTGCCGGTTATCTTTACAACACACTGGTCTTTGTGTTGGAAAAGCTATTTCTAGGAATAATTTGAGGTCTAAGGGTTTCCTGAGAAGATTTTAGTTTTTGTGTTGGGTACCTGATAGACATTTGTTAGCCTGGGGTCACTTTTGAATTTCATTTAGCTTTTCCAGGTCATCCTTAGTGGGGAGGGTGAGTCCAGTAGCCCCCAAGAACCAGGATGGGTAGGCTCCACTCTGTTCAGTCCTCAGCCAGCTGGGGTCTGGTTCCCCCACCCCACACCTCCCCTCTGGCACCAGTGACCACCGAGCTGCCAAGGCAAAGTCTCTTCATCTTTATTGTACCAATCTCTCTGTAATTTTTGGACTGTTAATTGCATTTTCTTTTTTTTTTTTTTTTTTAGATGGAGTTGCCCAGGCTGGAGTGCAGTGGCACGATCTCGGCTCACTGCAAGCTCCGCCTCCCGGGTTCACACTATTCTCCTGCCTCAGCCTCCCAAGTAGCTGGGACTACAGGCGCCTGCCACCACGCCCGGCTAATTAGTTTTTGTATTTTTACTAGAGACGAGGTTTCACCGTGTTAGCCAGGATGGTCTAGATCTCCTGACCTCGTGATCCGCCCGCCTCGGCCTCCCAAAGTGCTGGGATTATAGGCGTGAGCCACCGCGCCCGGCCTGCACTTTCTTTTTCTGAAACTCTTTGCTCAGCCTCTTTCCTGGTTATTCTTTTTTACTCTTTTGCTACCCTTCCTCTGCTCCCATCTCGGGTTCTCCTTTCTTTGCCTGTGCATTAAATGACGGTGTCCCCGGGCCTGTTTGCACCTCCTGTCTTCCGGCTCTGTGTTTCTTCTGGGTGACTTGGTCCACACCAGGAGCCGTGGCTTTCATCTCCATGCCATCTTCTCTCCTGAGCTCCAGTTGAAGGTCTGGCTGCCGGGACCAGGAGTGTCTTGCATCCAACGTGACAAGCACCCTTTCCTCATCCTTTAGGGGGCCTATGTCAGAGGACAGCATGACCATCCACTCAGAACACCTGCAGGAGCCACAGAACCGAGCGCCCACATGGTCCTTCCTGGTGTCCTCATGGTGTCTGTCTGTCTGTCCACCTGTCAGTCTGATGCAGTGTTGCTGGGCTGTCTGCTCTGGAGGGTCCTTGTTGTCTGTCCACCTGTCAGTCTGATGCAGTGTTGCTGGGCTGTCTGCTTTGGAGGGTCCTTGTTTTTATTTATTTATTATTATTTTTTTGAGATGGAGTTTTGCTCTTGTTGCCCAGGGTGGAGTGCAATGGTGCAATCTCGGCTCACTGCAACCACCGCCTCCTGGGTTCAAGCGATTCTCCTGCCTCAGCCTACCAAATAGGTGAGATCACAGGCGTGTACCACCATGTCTGGCTAATTTTTGTACTTTTAGTAGAGACAGGGCTTTACCATATTGGTCAGGCTGGTCTCAAACTCCAGACCTCAGGTGATCCACCCTCGTTGGCCTCCCAAAGTGCTGGGATTACAGGGTTGAGCCACCGTACCTGGCTGGAGGGGCCTTGTTAAAAAAACATCCTGGCACCACCTCCCAGCTGGTCTGATCGGTGTGTTTTTCTAACTGGCCTCTCTGCCCCTATTTCTGATCTCACCCATCTTCCACGTGTGGAGCTAGGGGCCTCATTCCTAAAATACAAATAGGACCATGTTAGTTTTCAGCTTAATGTCCTCCCATGATGATTCTTCATCTCCAAGATAAAATAAAAATGCCTGAGTTTGGCATATATAAAATAAAGCCTTTATTTCCCCCACACTATCTACCCCAGGCCTTCATCCATAGACTCTATGTTCTTGCTATTTTGAACTATTTATAATTCCCTCTTTCTTCTTCTCTCCATGCCATTGAAGAAGCCATTCCCTCTTTCTGGAATTCTCTTTCCTGTTCTCTGCCTGGCTAGCCCCAGATTGTCCTATCAATGAAATCCTTATTGCCTTCTATGGGCAGGCTTCTCTGGGAGATCTGGGCTAGACATGCCTGGAACAGGAGGAAGAGAGGGGAAGTGAATCAGTGAAGATGACTTGGGTGGCTGCTTTTTTCTCTCTCTCAGTATCACTGTGCCACTGCACAGGTTCTTGCACTTCCCCACTTCTCTTTCCCTTTAGTCTTGGTCCTGATGATCTCTTCTTTCCTCCTCTTCTTAAACACCAGGGAAGAGGAGGAGAAAGCGTGTGGACACATCACTCAGATAAACGTTTGAGCAGTGAATGGATATCGTCTCATGAAATGGAAGGCTGGTGTCCTGCCTCATCCCCAGCAACTCCAGTGCTGGGTTTAAAGAGATGATGCACTCCAATGCAGAACATGACACCCGGATTCAGACATGAAGCGTCTGTTCCTTCAAATGCTTAGTAATAAATGTAATGGTTTGCTAGAGTCAAGGTCATCACTGAAGGCAGACGTGGCAGATGACCTATAAAGGTTTCTTACAAGTATGTGCCAGTTTGCATGCACTGCCCATGCAGCGGTTCCCTCAACTTTAAAGGGAAGTAGAAATAGACAAGAGTCACAACTGAAAGTAATGGCAAAATTCTGTCCTACAGAGGTGATAAGACCTTATATAGATTGTAATAGCAATCTATAAAATCATCACTGATGGCTGGGTGCAGTGGCTCAGGCCTGTAATCCCAGCACTTTGGGAGGCCGAGGCAGGAGGATTGTTTGAGGCCAGGAGTTTAAGACCAGCCTGATCAACATAGCAAGAACCCATCTCTACAAAAAAAATTTTTTTGTAAATTGCCTGGGCATGGTGATGCACTCCTGTAGTCCCACCTCCCTAGGAGGCTGAGGTGGGAGGATCACTTGAGCCCAGGAGGTTGAGGCTGCAATAAGCCATGATCGCACCACTGCACTCCAGCCTGGGCAACAAGTGAGACCCTGTCTCTAAAAAATGAAACAAAAAAAATAAAATCATGACTGAGAGCAAAACTCTGGAGCATCTGAAACAAAGGGTCTCCTGTGGCCTAAACAACTGGGGCACCTCAGGTGGAGCCCCAGACCCGTCACGAACTCTTACTTCAGCAGAACCATAGGTGGAAGCAAACACAGGCTCACAAAGTGTTTATACTGAATCGTACTGATTTCATAAAAAGAAAGGCTTACAAAATAATAAACAGGAAAATCATAAAAGGTAATTCAGTGGAATAGATATTTTTTGGAGTACATCCTTGCTATCTGAGGTTCCCCTTAGGTGGGGCAGCCACATTCACCACCGGGGGTTCCCCAGAATTTAGGGCTGTGGTACAGACCCAGGCCTGATTTCATGGGGTAATTTCCGTTGCAAGTGTTGGGGAAGCCCCTTAAAACTGGGGCCCTCTTTTTTTTTTTTTTTTTTTTGAGACGGAGTCTTTCTCTGTCACCAGGCTGGAGTGCAGTGGCGCAATCTGGGCTCACTGCAACCTCCACCTCCCAGGTTCAAGCGATTCCCCTGCCTCAGTCTCCCGAGTAGCTGGGACTACAGGCATGCACCACCATGCCTAATTTTTTTTTTTGTATTTTAGTAGAGACGGGGTTTCACCATGTTGGCCAGGATGGTCTCGATCTCCTGACCTCGTGATCCGCTCGCCTCGGCCTCCCAAAGTGCTGGGATTACAGGTGTGAGCCACCGCACCCGGCCGGGGCCCTCATTTTTAACTCTTCCCACAGGGAATGCCTGGCTGCGCACCTAGGCGGTAACGATGGAAATCACTCCCTGTTGTGCGGAGGGGCTTTTGAATGAAGGAAGCGGCTCTCAGGAGGAGCACGGAAGGACTAAGGAGCATTTTCGGGTGGAGTAACTCAAACAGCAACCTCCTGCAGCTGCTGGAGGATGACCACAAATCCAGATCTTTCCGTGAAGGAAAGCAAAATTGAGATGATTGGATTTATCTTGGGGGATTGCGGAGAAAGCCCTTAGGGTGTGGTGCTGTCTATCTTTTAACATTCCAGATGCTAAGTCTCAGAATCGGAGTAGCAGTGGTTGCTTTTGAATAAGCTTGGTTCAATCTTGGTATATTTGTTGTTGATTTTAAAATGAGATAAATGGTTTGAAAATTATGCTAACTTGTTCCTGTATTTCTACTTTAAGTGGATCGTATGAGTTGAGCCATAAGTGAAAATGTTACTGTCTTAAGCATTATGATTTTTCAACATAAATATTTTAATTATATATAAATCTGATTTCAAAGTATTTTCATCTCATTTATCTCTTTTCAAAAGCACTGCCAGTGAAAGATGTAGAAGATAAACCTGAACAACAAACCAGAACAAGAGAGACTGACAAATCACCCACCAGTACTGAGCCTCGACAGCAACCAAGTGCCTTATTTGCTAGAGGAAACAGGAAAGCGGTCAAAAGTCCCCAAAGATCATCGAGTAAAATAAAAGAAAACAAGCATCCATTTGCTCTTTATGGCTGGGGAGAAAAACAGACCGATACAGGAAGCCAGAAGACTCACAACGTCTGTGCGTCCGCTCCTGTGCACGAGGTGCGCTCTGGGCCCTTGTGGTTCTGTGTTCCCTTTGAGAGTGGCCAGCTGGGCCATGCGCCTGTCATCGGGCATCGTGTCCTTTGGCCACTGGGTGCTTTGGGCCCATGGGAGATCTTAGGGGATAGCATGGTGGGTTGGGGAACTCCAGAATGGAGCCTCTGATGAACCAAAGGAGGATTCTGCATGTTGGTGGCCTGCAGAGCGAGGGGTTTTGGCTTGGAGTTACCCAGAAGAGTTTAGTGACACCAAGCCAGGCAAAGATGTAGATGGAGTTGGGGTTCACAAGTTCCTGGGGGGCCGGAAGGTTAGGAGGAGCAGCACAGCCAAGGCTGGCGACGGCCCATCTGGATTTGCCACTGGTCTCTTGAGCTGTTTCAGCTTCCTTCAGCTTCGATAACCTGGCGCTTCTTTATCTTTGGTTTGTCTGATTGATTGATTGCTTGGCATCTGCCAGAGACTCCCTTTTGTTCCTCTGATTAAATTCAAATGGCTGCATTTCCCCTGTTCATCCATAACAAATGCATTTTACTCTCAGGAGCTTTAGTCCTCCCCTGACTTAGCCTTAGCTTGTCTCTCCTGTGTCAAGACCCGGAAACATTTCAGATGAGAGGACCTTCATGTGTGTAGTCAGAAAACATGTATGTTAGCGTTAATACTGTTATGATAGCCTAAAGCAAAGGCTGCGTTTAAGGAAGCAGAAAGTGAAACTGCAAACTGCTTGAGTTCTAGATAAACAGCATAATGAAAATTTCACTGAACAGACATCTGAACCCTAGCAAATGGTGTTATTTGGAGTGATATTTGAGACAACAAAGCTGCCGTTTAACAAAAGATCTCTAAGAAGTCCGTGGGATTAATTTTAACAGGATTTATCTGTAGTATAAGACATCTTAGGTGGTAAAATCTCGAGATGTCTTTGGTATACTGATGTTAAACATTTAAAGTTCTTTTATTTTCCCTGCTTTTTATGAGCTGTTTATAAGTCGTTAATTAAATACTTATGTTTAATGCTAAGCAGTTCGGACAGTTTTCCAGAGCCAACTCTAGAGGCACATGCAAATTAGTTGCTTACCATTTCTGTCTAACATTTAATTTGCTGTTGCTTAGTTTCATTATCCCTGATATGAATCAAGTGAGAACAGCATCAAGTGAGAATGGCTCTTCTGTGGAAGGTTTTATGTAAAGAAGAACTATATAGAGAGGCAGGGCTTGACTCTGCCCTGCTGCAGTTGACCTGGCAGTAGCCAGCTTCATTGCAACCTCTGTTGAACATTAGTATAATAGCCCCTTAAGTTACTATCCTTTATTTTGAACTCTCTTTAGATTCATGAATCAGCATTACGAGCCAAGAACAGAAGACAGGTGGAAAAAAGGAAACTGGTTGCTCAAAGGCAGCGAGCTCACTCTGTGGATGTGGAGAAGAACAGAAAGATGAAGGCTTCCTCCTCAGAGAACCCGTGGATGACAGAATACATGAGGTGCTATTCGGCAAGAGCTTAAAGAAACACTTGCGTGGACAGCCTCTTTTAAAAAGTGTAAATGACTGAAAGGAAAAACAAAACAAAAACCATCAAAAGAAACGGACACAGGTTTAAGAAACCAACTGATTATGCAAGGTTTTTTTTAGGGAATTTGTAAAAGATTGTTTTATTTTGATGAATATTGGTCACCTACCTCGGCAGTAGGGCAGACAGTTGAAGCCATAGACATTTGGTTATTTATGAAGATAATTCCCTAAATCTTTGATATTCTTATAAGGTTTTTGTTTTAAAGCATCTTAATCTTTTAAGATACTGACACCAAATGCCTTTAAATGGCAACAGATGCTTACAGTTCAGTATTCTTTTCATAAGCTTAGGTAGAGCCTATTATCATCTTGTTCTAAATAACTTTCCAGATTCCATAGCTATAAGATCATTCCATCCTACAGCATAAGACTCGTTTTCCTTATATGCCGTTTTGTTTGTGAAAGAATATCAAGTCAAAAATGAGTGTCAGCACTACTACTGATTCCATGTATAATGAAAGTAGAACTTTGCTAGTTCCTGAAAATTTTTAACTTATTTGTATTTCAGTTCAGCAGCATCTTTATGTAGATTGTGATATTTAAGAATTATCTGGGCTGGGCGAGGGTCTCTTTTTCTCTTTCAGTGATCATCTAGGCAGTTATTATTTAATAGTTTAATAGCTCAAGTACATTCCAATAGACGAAGTGCACACAACACAATATGTGTGTACAGTAGTAGTAAAGTTTCTTTTGAGTAGTCAAAGACTCACTTTTTTTATTGCCTTTTTTTTTTTTTTTAAAGAATACATACTGTGGATTCAGTCCCTTGTCACACTTGACCTTTTGGCATACACCCACTGTGGACTTTTGCCTCTTCTGTAATGGCTGGCAATGACATTTCAAACTTACAATCTGGAATTGCACTTGGTACATTGGCATTGCTTGTTCCACTGGGATGGGGACCAGTGTGAAGATGCCTGTTAGATAGACTGCCCACCCCTACTTTCTCTTTTTCTTTATAGCACTTAACAATAACAAAGTCTTGATGATGTACAGTATTCAAACTTTAGGTTGAAATACGTTACTCTTTGATTCCTAGCCAGTAGATCTTATCTACACTTTAATGGGAGAGAATGGTGGTGTGTGGGTAGGCACAAATTTATGTAAATAGTGCTCCTTCTCTTTAGTATGTTTGCTTTGGGGGTAGAAAAATGGTTTTAACAAACACTGGTTTCCATCAAATGAATGATGTCTTCTCCATCCTGTGGAGACAAGAATCTGCTAGAAGGATATGTGCTAAGTTCCTTATAAGAGATAATGGTGCTCTGCCTATGCCAGCTTGGCACCCGAAGATGTGTGAGTGGACGTGAGGCTGAGTATTACCTTAGTATTTTTCTCTGGGTCTTTGGAAAACCATAGTCAATTTTTAGAACATATTGCTTTCATTCCCCATAAACTCTTCACACATGATAACTGTTTAAGCTTTGAAAACACATACTGAAGTATTGTGAGCTTAAAAAAACTTTTTAAATATTTGCATAGTTTTGAGGTGAATTTGTTTCCTTACAGATCTCTCCTAATCATTGAGATGTATATTTCAAAAGAGGAAATTTTACATGTTGTCCAAAACAGCCTTGCTAGTAACTGGTGAATTTTGGTATTAACTATTATTAAAGTCTTTAAACGACACAGGTACCTAAAGATCACCTTAATGTGGCAATTTGTGATGGTGTAGCTAGCTGATTGTGAAAACTGTTCCTTTAAAGTCGCTTCTTGCATGTTCGGTGTTAGTCATCCAGCTCAGGCTTGTGTTGCAGCTGACAATCTAGGAAAGACGGCCTTAGAGAGTGGTGCAGGCCCCACACTGACGGACTGCCTTAGAAACCCGACTTCCTCTAGACTTTGAACCGCCAGACTTTTCTCTTGTTTAGAAAACAAACTTATATTTAATGTACTTACTACTTAAAACTCCAGACAGAGATATAATGTAGAAGGCAAATATTGGCCAATTTTTTCCTCTTTTTAAGTGGAAGACAAATGAACGGGATTTTTAAAGTGCTTTTAAAGTGCATGAATGGTTAATAAATCAGTATGAATTGTAAGCCTTCATCTTACATCCAAGTCCTTAGTTGGTTAGGGTTTCTTTTCTTTCTTTTTTAAAGAGTGTCAATTACCTTTTGAACCTGTGAAAATTTGATAGTTGTTAACAGTCTGATGGTCCTAATTCTTTCTTTTCATTCTAGAAATGAATGTGGTTGTAATCATGTTCCTAATTCTTGGGACAACCTGCAAGACAGTGAGACAGTTTAAAAATTACCTTTCATGTTGAAAAAGTCTGAAACAGAGAACCCAATGATATTTAAAATAAATGCTACATAAAACTCTTTTTAAAATTTTGATTTTAACTTAATTAAAACAATGTCATAAATATGCTTTTTGATTTTGTTACTGCTTTTAATATTAAAGTAATAGAATATTGAAGCAATATTGTCTAGCACTCTGCTGGACATTAAGTCCGCGGGAGGAGAAGTGAACAGGAATCGATTCTTTGTCTTTTAACTGCCCTTAGTTAGGAGATGTTAAAATACTTGGCACCTCTGGTTATATGTATGTTATGTGTGTTCTCCCCCCTAAAATTTCTAAGCACATTTATTCACTTTTAAAATGAATCTTTAAAAGATTATAGTTAGTAGTTATAGTTAATATTCTATTTACTTGGAAAAATGTGAATAAATGGATCTTCAAAAGATTCATTTTAAAAATGAATAAATGTATAATAGGCTATAGGTGATCTTACTTGCGTATTAGGTAGGAGGCACATATTTATACCATTTCATATGTAATATCTTTGTCATTGTGTTTCATCGAAGATCAATTGCTAGCAACTTGAAGGGTATTTATACTTGGGTCACTTGAACTCAGCTGACTAAATTGTAAGAACGAGAGCAAGCAAGATGGCTGTTATTGGAAGCCATAACTTCCAGAAGATAATTCTGCACAATTCGTAAGTTAAAAAAAATCTGTAGGGTCTTCCACTATCCTTTTTCAGGTTGATAATGCTGTTCTGGGCACACACTTTGTAAATGGAATGTTATGGTACAGTCGCCTCTCAGTATCCATGGGGCATTGGTTCCAGGCCTCCCTTAGGATGCCAAACTCCATGGATACTCAAACCCCTTCTATAAAATGGTGTAGTATTTGCATATATCCTAGACACATCCTCCTGTATGCTTTAAATCATCTCTAGATTACTTAAAATACCTAATACAATGTAAATGCTCTGTAAATAGTTGTTATACTATATTGTTTAGGGAATAATGACAAGGAAAAAAAAGCCTGTACATGTTCAGCACAAGTGAAACCATCCTTTTTGCCCCCAAATATTTTCAATTTGTATTTGGTTGAATCCATGGATGCAGAACTCACGGATACAGAGGGCCGACTGTACTTTCTTTAAAGTGTTCAAAAGTATTACTAGCAAAGAGGAGGAGGAGCAAAGCATATATCAGAAGTAAAACAATTTTTCTTGTTGACTGCTTTGGTAAAAAACAGTTTGATGGATAGTTTTACATTTCACTGGACTAGATAAAAAATGGTGCTAATATTTATGTAGCTTGATGCTATAGTTGCTTTGGTATCAAACTTAATACCTAACCCATATAAGATCCTTATTATATAATTTTGTGATCAGTAAAATGATATTTTAAAGAGTGATCTTAAAAATATGACCTGGTCATTGCACAACGTTTGCATTTGAAATGAATTTTTGTACTATAGGGTGGATATGGAGTTATTCAGTGCAAGTGTGTGCTTAATATCAAACCCTATGCAAGGAGCTATGTCTAGATTTTTGGTCCAAATTTGCCTCCTTCAAGCCTACTAGTGTGAGATGGAAAAAAATCGATTGCTCTTTTAATATTATTTCCATTTTGAAATTCTCGACACTTGAATGAAGGCAGTAGAGGCCTCTTTTTGGATTTCTCTTCTAATAACAAAACTTTATTTAGGGAAGGTTTCCCTGTGCTATCGTAAGTTTGTTTTGAGCACTGCATTCACTTTAAAATTCTGGAGGAACAAAGGCTGGGCACATAATCACAAAGCCCAGGCCACACAATAATTCGGGGTTGTATTTTCTAAGAACTATGTATTGTTTTTAGCTTATAGTTAATATTGTATTTACTTGGAAAAATGTGAATAAAGTTAATTAACATTACAAGCTGAGACTCTTTTGTGAGAAGTAATTCTGCTTAGTACATAAATGACTTGAAGAAAATGTATGATCATATTGACTCCTAAATGGATTTTTCAGTAGATAAATGTTTAACAAGACACATTAGTTATGTCCGGGAAAAGATAAATAGTGTATATACACTTTGAGTTGAGCTATAATTTTTCCCAGTCTTTTCCATCACATCTTCTTATGGTTTTGAAAGTTACAAAAGTAATAGTGCATGGTTAAAATAACTCAAAAAGAAGTATAGAGTTGGCTGGGTGTGGTGGCTCACGCCTGGAATCCCAGCACTTTGGGAGGCCGAGGCAGGCAGATCACTTGAGGTCAGGAGTTTGTGACCAGCCTGGCCAATATGGTTAAACCCCGTCTTTACTAAAAATACAAAAATTAGCCGGGTGTGATGGCACGTGCCTGTAATCCCAGTTACTCGGGAGGCTGAGGCAGGAGAATCGCTTGAACCCGGAAGGCAGAGGTTGCAGTGAGCCGAGATCATGCCATTGCACTCCAGCCTGGGCGACAGAGCAAAACTCCGTCTCAAAAAAAAAAAAAAAAAAAAAAGGTATAGAGTTAAAAGTGAAAGTTCCCTGCTCATCGAAATTCTACTCCTCTTCTTAGAATAAACCATTTTTAAGTTTTGTGTGTAAACTTGCAGACCTTTTTTCTAAGCATTTATCTATGGAGATACATGCACACATTTGTTTTTGCACAAATATTGGATAATGCAATAGACATTCTCCACTTTTTTTTCCCTTAATATCTTAGGGAAGATTCTAGTTCCAGGAAGATGGAGGAAGCACCCATTTCCCCCACTTTGTTCTTACTGAACACATCTATAAAATATGGACGGACTGTGTCACACAGCTATTTGAGGACTCTGAAAAGTAAATAGCAACGCACAGATTGGGTACACTAGACTTCTAAGGACCACTAAAGTGGTGGTGAGTCTTCCTTTTTTCTTCTTCATGTATCATCCAGCCTTAACACAGGCCAAAACACAGAAGTAAGTACCGTGGTGCGGAGATCCAGAAGCAGCCTGGCTCGAGGGACAGGAGGGGAAGGAAGAGCTGAAGCTCAGAGAGTGGGGGAAATGCCCCTCTTACCTCTCCTTTTCCCCATTTTTTCGTGCTGAAGCTCCCAGGTCACCCCCTGGCTGCCAGTGGGAGCCTGCAGGAGTCGGAAGCCTGAGGGACAGCCTCGCACATCTCCACCAAGTACAGCTGCATCACCAAGAGCGCGGGGCTGAGCTGATGCGCTTTTTTTCCTCTCTGAAGGATATGGCTTAATTGCAGAAGTGGGCAATTTTGGGCCACAGGACCAAAAAAGGGGAGCCCCAGGGAACTAGAAAGTGCTAGGGAGAGAGCAGAGAGAGAAGAGCTTAAGAAAGTGACTCCACAAAGTTTTTTATGAACACTAGCCCTTCCCCACCTACTCACATGTTCACAGTGCTTATGGGTAGAGCTGATCCTAAGTCCATATCAAAGACAGCAGAGAACCGAGCTTGCAGGTGAGCCCTGTCAGGCCTCAGACCACAAGATGGGGCCCATATGGGATGAATCCAAATAGCACTGCAAAAGCTTTGAAAACTGAAGTGACATTGGGACCAAAACTCACAGAAGGTTGGAGTTTTCGGCCTGAGCCTCACCAGATCAATTTCCTGCTATAATAAAACAATAGTATCAACATTTTCTATAGGACTTACTTAAAAGCCGCGTCTCCTCATGTAACATTCAAATATCTAGAATACAATCCCGAATTATTCAGCATATAAAGAACCATGAAAATAATTCTAATGGGAAAAGACAACAGAAGCCATTATAGACTTTAAAGTAGTTAATAATAAAAAGCTCAGAGAAGCAATCACTCCTGAAACATATTAAAATAGAAATTATCAGTAAAGAAATAGATGATATAAAGCAGAACCAAAGGAAAATATTAGAACTGAAAAATACTATAACATTTTAAAAATTCACTGGATAGACTCAATGGAATGGAGATGACAAGAGAAAGACAGATTGATAAAATCATCCAATATGAATAGAAAAGTCACTGAAAAATGAACAGACTTTCAGGGACCTGTGGGATGATACTGACAGGTCTCACAGTCATGTCACAGATGGATAAAAGAGAGTGCAGTGCTGGCCGGGTGTGGTGGCTCATGCCTGTAATCTCAGCACTTTGGGAGGCCGAGGCGGGTGGATCATGAGGTCAGGAGTTCAAGACCAGCCTGGCCAACATGCCAAACCCTGTCTCTACTAAAAATACAAAAATTAGCTGGGCATGGTGGTGGGCACCTGTAATCCCAGCTATGCGGGAGGCTGAGACAGGAGAATCGTTTGAACCCGGGAGGTGGAGATTGCAGTAAGCCAAGATTGTGCCATTGCACTCCAGCCTGGGTGACAGAGCGAGACTCCGTCTCAAAAAAAAAAAAAAAAAAAAAATGCAGTGCTTTACAACCATCTGTATAATTAATGGCTGAAAAATTCCCAAGATGGGTGAAATCTTACAGATTCAAGAAGCTGAGTAAATCCTAAACAGGATAAATTCAAAGAAGTCAATGCCCAGACACATCATAAACTGCTGAAAACTAAAAGACATCTTGAAAACAGCCAGAGAAAAATGACACATTACCTGTAGGGAAACAACAATTTGAGTGACGTCGGAATTTTCATCAGAAACCGAGGAGGTCAGAAGGAAGTGGCCCATTTTTTAAAGTGCTGAAAGAAAATAACTGTCAATTCAGAATTCCTAGCCAATGAGGTATCCCTCAGGAATGAAAGTGAAATAAAGACATTGTCAGATGCATGAAAACAGAGAGGAATGGCAGCAGCTGACCCGCTCAAAGGAACTGCACAGGCAGCTGGTCCTTCAGAGACAAACAGCACCAAAAGGAAACCTGCAACATCAGGAATGAAGAAAAGCAACCAAAATGGCAACTATCTGGGTAAAATAGAATAGACTAGTCTCCTCTTGAGTTTTTATAACATGTTTGATTGTTGAAAGCAAAAAATATAACATCATCTGATAGGGTTTCCAACCTATGTAGATGCAATATATAAGACAACTGTAACAGAAAGAGGGGCGAGTAAAGGGACCCACATGGTGGGAAGGTTTCTGTATTCCAAGCATATTTAAGTGACAAAAACGGTTCTAAATAGGCTGTTTTCCTTTCAAAACTTTATACAAAGATATAGTCAAAATCATAACAGATAAAATGGAATACTAAACATGTTCAAATGCGCCGGGTGCAGTGGCTCACGCCTGTTAATCCCAAGACTTTGGGAGGCCCAGGCAGGTGGATCATCTGAGGTGAGGAGTTCAAGACCAGCCTGGCCAACGTGGTGAAACCCTGTCTCTACTAAAAATACAAAACTAGCCGGGTATGGTGGCAGGTGCCTGTAGTCTCAGCTACTCAGGAGGCTGAGGCAGGAGAATCACTTGAACCCAGAACCCAGAAGGCGGTAGTTGCAGTGAGCCAAGATCGCACCACTGCACTCCGGCCTGGGCGACAGGGCGAGACTCCATCTCAACAACAACCACCACCACCACCACCACAACAACAAAAAGTTCAAATAACCCAGAAGAAAACAGAAGGGGGAACCAAAGAACAAAAAACAGAGAACAAACAGAAACCACACACATTAGTAACTACATTAAATGTAAATAGTGTAAACACACCAATTAAAAGACAGTAACATGATTCAGCTATATGATGTCTACAACAAATTCATTTTAAATGCAACCATATGAGTAGGTTAATAGTAAAGGACAGAAAAAGATGGACCAGGCCGGGCATGGTGGCTCACGCCTATAATCCCAGCACTTTGGGAGGCTGAGGAGGGTCGATCACTTGAGGCCAGGTGTTCAAGACCAGCCTGGTCAATATAGTGAAACCCTGTCTCTACAACAACAAAAACAAATACAAAAATTAGCCTGGTGTGGTGGCACATGCCTGTAATCCCAGCTACTCAGGAGGCTGAGGCATGAGAATTGGTTGAACCTGGGAGGTGGAGGTTGCAGTGAGCTGAGATCGCGCCACTGCACTCCAGCCTGGGCGACTCTGTCTCAAAAAAAATAAAAATAATGAAAAAGGACCATAAAAACGCTAATCAAAAAAGAAAGCAATAGCAAAGTTGATTTCAGAGCAAAGGAAATTACCAGAGATAAAGAGGGTTTTTATATAAAAGGGTCAATTCACCAAGAAGACGCAGCATGTTTAAAGGTGTACGCACCTGGCAGCAGAACTTCACCGTGTATGAGCTTCTGTGTCCACAGTGCACAAGCATAGCGACACTCTCTAAAACCTGCTGGACTTACTGTAAGTGAGGCAAGCATAATCCCTAAAAAGTGAGACAGTATGGAACAATAGAACATAGGATTCTCCATACGCCCAGGGAAAGCAGGGTTATGACAGGAAGCAGATGGCTATGGTGGACAGGTGAATTACTGGAAAAAGGCTAACATGACAAAGAAGATTGTGCTGAGGCAAAATATGTGAAGGAAATCTGACAACTGAAAGGAGAACTAGACAAATTCACCATTACAGTTGAAGACTTCAATACTCCTAACAGTAATAGAACTAATAGAAAACTAGCCAAGATGGAAGAACTGAGTATCATTAATCAAGTGGCTGTAACTGACATTTATAGCACTCCACCCAACAACAGCGTAATACATATATTCTTCCAAGGCCACGTGGAACATATCTCTAAGACCATATCCTGGTTTATAAAATAAACTTTAATGAATGTAAAATAACTGAAATCATACAAAGTATGTTTCTGACCATAATGGAATTGAACTAAAATTCAGTAATAGAAGGATAACAGGAGAATCTGAAATTGCCTGGAAGTTAAACAACATAGTCATAAATAAATCACCAAAGAGGAATTCTCAAGAGAAATCAGAACATATTTTAAAGGGAAGAAAAGTGAAATTATAGCATATTAAAATACGTGGGCACAGATAATGCAGTGCTTAGAGGGAAATTTATTGCATTGAGTGCTTTTATTATGAAAGAAGGTTTCAGATCAATAATCTGAGCATCCACAGTAACAGAAAACGATAAGTAAAATGAACCCACAACTAGCAGAACAAAGGAAGACAAAAAGCAGACATCAATGAAATTGAAAACAAAAATGGAATATGAATGAAGCCGGGAGCTGTTGCTTCGAAAAAATTATTGAGAAACCTCTAGTAAGACTGAACGTTTTTAAAAAAGAAGCCATGCGTATCAACATCAGGAATGCAAGGATTTACATTTTACTGATTTTTTTTTTAATAGGGTCTCACTTTGTCACTCAGGCTAGAGGGCAGTGGCGCAAACACGGCTCACTGCAGCCTTGAACTCCTGGGCTCAAGTGATCCTCTCACCTCAGCCCCCCAAGCGGCTGGGACTACAGGCACGTGCCATCACGCCCAGCTAATTTTTGTATTTTTTGTAGAGATGGGGTTTCGCCATTTTGCCCAGGATGGTCTCGAACTCCTGGGTTCAAGGGATCCCAAAGTCAGGCATGAACTGTGCCTGGCCTTACTGATTATTAGTGATGTTACCATCTTTTTCTTATTAATCAGTCATCTTTACTTCTTTGATGAATGGTCTGCTTATGTGCTTTGCCAATCCTTTATTTTGGAAAAAAATGTAGAAAAGCGCACTGACTTTTTTTAAGTGAGTTTCTTTCTGTCTTACTGATCTTGTTAGGGTCTCTCTATATATCTGATATACATCTTCGGATAGATATTTTGTGAATATTTTATACAGCTCATTGCTTTCCTTTATGCTTTCTTTTGTCTTATGGAAAATACCAATTTGCATACTCAAATCTCAAACTTTTCCCTTACAGATGGGGGACTTTGTGTCACTTTCAGAAAGACCCTTTGATTATAAAAAATGCAATATTGTCTTCCAATGTTTTAGAAGAAAAACTTTGCTTCTAGTTTTAGCTCTTTAATCCAACTGAAGTTAATTTTTTTGAATATGAAGTAAAAATTCAACCTTCCCTTTTTTTTGAGACTAAGTCTCACTCTGTTGCCCAGGCTGGAGTGGAGTGGTGTGATCACAGCTCACTGCAGCCTCGACCTCCCTGGGCTCATGTGATCCTCCCACCTCAGCCTCCCCATCACTGGAACTACAAGCATGAACTACCACGCCTGGCTAATTTTTGCATTTTTTGTAGAGATGGGGTTTTGCCATGTTGCCCAGGCTGGTCTCGAATTCCTGGGCTCAAGCCATCTGCTGGCCTCAGCCTCCCAAACTACTGAGATTACAGGCGTGAGCCACCCTGCCTGGCCCAACCTTCCTTTTTTAATCAAATGGGTAGCAGATGGGTTTAACACCATCTGTGAACAGTCCTTACTGATATAAAGTGTTACATCATTTAAAAAAAAAATTCTTGGGAAGGTTTCTTAGATACATGGGAAGGTTTCTAGATGCTGCTCTTCTGTGGATCAGTTTGGACAAACCTGAGCTCACTATATTCTTTTAAACTGCAAAATAAGTTTTGCAGTTTATTTTATATCTGGGAGGCCAAGTCTCCACATGCCCACCTTGTTCTCTTTTCTTGGTTATTTTCTAAATATGAACTTTAAAATGAGCATGTCAAATTCTATTTTTAATTCCATTTGGCAGTTTCATTAAACTGCACTGAATTTACTAATTTTGGAAGATTAACAGCTTTCTAATATTGAGTCTTTTTATCCCCAAATATAGTATGTCTCCATTTAGGTCGGTCTTCCTATATTTATTTCAGCAGGATTTAAAGTTTTCATGAATAAAAAGTCTTGCACACCTCTTGTTGGATTTGCTCCCTACTTCCATCAAATTTTCTAAATGGTTCCTGCCAATGTATAGGGAAAGGCCTAAATTGGAAGGAAAATTATTACCTTTTCTGATAAATGAGAGGAGCATATCAGTGAAAACAAAAATTAAGGATGCTGTTTAACTAAATTATTTTGCAATTACCTCAAAAGAGAACTAGAAATGACCCAATTGGAAATGACCCAGTTCATCAATAAGAAACTGGCTAAAGAAAACATTATTTCCACAAAATGGAACCCTATGCAGCCTTTAATGAGAAAGCTCTCAATGTACTGAGAAGTGGAAAAGCTCCAAGATAGAGTTTAGGTGTACAAAAGATGGTGTATGTAACATGTTATCTTTTAAGAAAGGGAAGGCTAATAAAAATATCTGTATCTACATTAAGAACCTCTGGGAGGATTCACAAACTAACTAGTGGTTACCTGCAGGGCTAGAGGAAGAAATGGAGTGATGGGATGGGCAGGGAGCCTTCAGTGTTCACCTTCTCATGCGGCTTTGATTTTTAAACCATTAAGAATGCATTAGCCATTAAAAAATAATCCTAGAGAAAACAAAAGAGAAACAGATACAAACACCCACTCTTCAAAGATATGCCCTCCCACTGAAGATTCTCAGCTGTGTGATTCTTAAGCTAGACTAATAACTGAGCCACCTGGGAGGTCCTGTAAGTGAATGTTCTTTGGGCTCTTGCTCGGAGCTTCCCACTCAGGAGGCCACTGTCTGGCAGCGGAGAGGAGAACAGCGCGGGGCCCCTCCACTGCCTGCTGGTCTGGAATGGGGCTCTGGCACATTACAATATTTAAAACTCTGCATGCAATTTTTGGATGATAAGGTATAAATCCTGGATTTTCACCAAAACAATGAACTTTTTCTAGGAACAGAATTTTGACATGATTCTGTTAACCCACAATAAAATACACAGTACAGCATCTTCAGACTGCTGCTGATGCTCATCCAGCATTTCCAAAAGCCCTAGGTCTGACTTCATCTTGCCCTTGTTCTGGACCCAGGTTCTGCTCCACTTTCTTCCACAGCAGGGACTGTCACCGGGGATTCCCATGACGTGTACGTCATAATGCGACGCTCCAGAAGCCTGTGTGACTGCTACTTGTAGAATAAAAGGACACAGTCTTCATGGCTACCATAAAATTGATGGCCAATATTACAATAAAAATATAAACCATAAATCTCTTTTAAAAAGTTGTGCATTTTAAATGGTTGGGCTTCCTGCTCTGTAAGTGGGAGTGTAAATTGGTCAAGTTCTTCAGAGGGCAATGTACCTTTATTGATATTTAAAGAGTATGCCTTTGATTTAGCAATTTTGCTCCTAAAAGTTTTCTGATACATCCATATGTGCAGATACACTCAACAAAGGTGTTCACATGGTGCAGGACACGGATCAGACTGTGTCACATCCACACTGCCTGCCTCTAGTCATAAGCTGGACCTTGGCAGGGGGGAAATTCAAAAAAGGAAAGCGTGGAACAGTCTCAAAGCATGCTAAGAACACAAATGGGTCAGGTGTCGTGGTTCACGCCTATAATCCCAATACTTTGGGAGGCCGAGGCGGGAGGATTGCTAGAGCCCAGGAATTCAAGACTGGCCTGGGAAGCATAGCGAAATTCCATCTCTACAAAACAAAACATTAGCCAGACATGGCAGTGCACAACTGCGGTCCCAGCTACTTGGGAGGCTTGAGGTAAGAGGATTGCTTGAGCCCCGGAGGTTGAGGCTGCAGTGAGCTGTGATCGCACCACTGCACTCCAGGCTGGGTGACAGACTGAGATCCTGTCTCAAAAATAAAAATAGAAACCCACAAATGGAAGGACACTCTGCCTCCAGTATTTTCATATGAAAAGGGGTGTTTAGAGAAGTGTGTCTGAGGTCCTCATGCGAGCAGTTCAAGGGGCTAAGGGGTTGGCTGTGGGAGGTGAGCCTGCGTCTGCAGCTAGGAATTTTACTGTGCACATATGCTTTTGATTTTACTAATGAAAGATGGTCCAAACCAGTTAAGGATGACTATTTTGGTCATGTCGGGTGGCTCACACCTGTAATCCCAGCACTTTGAGAGGCCGAGGTGGATCACTTGAGGTCAGGAGTTCGAGACCAGCCTGGCCAACATGGTGAAACCCTGTCTCTACTAAAAATACAAAAATTGGCCGGGCGTAGTGGCAGGCACCTGTACTCAGGAGGCTGAGGCAGGAAAATCACTTGAACCCAGGAGGCGGAGGTGGCAGTGAGCCAAGATCACACCACTGCACTCCAGCCTATGCAACAAGAGCAAAACTCCATCTCCCAAAAAAAAAAAAAAAAAAAAAGATGACTATTTTGTGAAAATTAACATCGCTATTAGTTAATGTTTTACTGTTCTTAACACTTAGGTATTGACTAATACCTATGACAGCTGCTGCATCCATTTCTGTTTCATTGTTTTAGAGCTTCAGGATTTCAGAAGAACTGAGGAGTTCCTCTGTGTCCAGGTTGCTGTCTGGTCTTTGACGAGAACCTGGGAAGTCTGGACCAAGCACATACTTCCTGGCAACAGCCTCCTAGGACAGCCTCTCATGCTGCCCCATGGACAATGCATGGCAACCCAGCCTGCCCCTGCGTTGCCCTCAGGCCTTGACCCGTGATCACTTGTGGATACTTACACTCAGCCCCCGTTTGTCATCTGTGCTTTCTACAATGACCACATAGCTAAATGTTTCCTTGAAGCCCAGCTCAAGTATTCCTTTGCCGTGTAGTGTCACCCAGCCATGGAACAAACCTGTATAATGTCACCCAGCCATGGAACAAACCAGAGTAAAGTATCATCCCCACAGAAGATCCCTGTGAACAAACACCAGACTCTGTGCCTAAACTTCAGGCCACTAGACGTTTCCTAAAATGTAACTACATATGGTAGAAGTCTGGAGCAACAGGCTAGCATTTAAAGCCAAAATTATTCCTGGAAATAAAAAAGAGGAAAAGAGGATAGCCAGTAGTAGAATAATTGCATAGTTACAGATTAAAGAAAAATTCATGAGTGAATAATGAAATTTTTCTTCTACTGTTGCTCAAAGACTAAGTAGAGATGAGTAGCACAGCTGAGGGCTAGCGTGGGTCAATAGTTTATTGGCAGACAGCACAGGAATGCCGCCAGAATGAATACACTAACTGCTGCAGCTAGAAAGGCAGATCCAATCACATAGTGTGGAGAACAGCCTCCCCATGAAGGCCTCACAGGCACCTTCTCACCTTAACGAGAGAAAGATCTAACCAACATGTCAGTACCAGACTGCCTTAACCGCTGAGAAGTAGACGGTGACGGGCATTCTGAAAGCCAATTGACATGCATTTTCACTCATGTACTTCCAACCTGTAATACTTTTAATTTACTGAATTCAATTTGCTGGAGGCAGAGTCAAAAAAAGCAAGCTACCAAACTTGCAAGATTTAAAAAAAAAAAATCAAAACATGGTTTCACAATGATGATAGAAGCTTACCCCTCACTCCAGATAATTTAGTACTAGCTGGGTGCCGTGGAGCATGCCTGTAATTCCAGCACTTTGGGAGGCTGAGGCAGGAGGATCACTTGAGCCCAGGAGTTTGAGACAAGCCTGAGCAAAATAGTGAGAGCCCATCTCTAAAAAAAAATAATTAGTGGCCAGGTGTGGTGGCTCACGCCTGTAATCCCAGCACTTTGGGAGGCCGAGGTGGGCAGATCATGAAGTCAAGAGTTCGAGACCAGCCTGACCAATATGGTGAAACCCTGTCTCTACTAAAAATACAAAAATTAGCCGGGCATGGTGGCGCATGCCTGTAATCCCAGCTACTCAGGAGGCTAAGGCAGGAAAATCGCTTGGACCTGGGAGGCAGAGGTTGCAGTGAGCCGAGATCACACCACTGCACTCCAGCCTGGGTGACAGAGTGAGACTCTGTCTCAAAATAAATAAATAAATAAATAAAAATAATTAACTGGGCATGGTGGTGTGCTCCTGTAGTCCCAGCTACTTGAGAGGCTGAGGTGGGAGGACAGCTTGAGGTCAGGAGTTCGAGGTTGCAGTGAGCTATGATTGCACCACTGTGCTCCTGCCAGGGTGACACACTGAGCCCCTGTCTCAAAAAAAAAAATTTTTTTTTAAATGGAAAATACTCCTATACCAATTAAAATCAGAACTGCTTGTAGTTCTTAAAACAAATTTTCATAATATTTGAAATTTTCATAATACAATGTTGGGGAAAAAAAGATTCCAGTCAACAGAAATCCCAGTTCCTCATCCACTGTGCTGTGCAGAGGGACCTGCAACCAAGGCTGCTGCCTGCTCCCTGGGTTTGGCCTTTGGCCAGCCCCTTGCCTGGGCGGCTCGGGCCCCTCATTTGTAAGATGGGCCTAATACCTGCTATGACCACTGCAATGGGTTGTTCTGAAGGTTAAATTAAATTCTAAATGTGAGAATACCCTTAAGTTGTAAAATATGCTATGCCCCTTCAAGGTTTTACTATTATAGACATTTCAATGGATAGTATTAGAAATAGGTTCTTGTTAAACTAAATATTATCTAGCGTTTCTCTGGCACACTATGGTTTTTAAGGAAGAAAAGAAAGGTGGGCATTGAGTCCTATACTTCGACAAGGGACGGGAGATGCAGTGAACAGCAAAAGGAGCCCTCGGCAACCGCAGATCCTCACAGTGGGCTCTCTCCAAGTGCAGGAGTCAAGTTCTCACAGCTCAGATAGGGCTGAAGTTGGAAAATCAGATAGAAACACACATAAAGAACTTAAATAGAATTCAGAATTTAAGTGTCAGGTGAAAAGAGTGAGTCTTAAAATTAGGGTAGGAAAACTATTTGTCATTCCTCTTTTCCTTTGAAAAGGCAGCAGAGTTACTAAGTTTCCAAGATCTAATTATAGTTCTGGCCTCTGCTTCAACATGGGGACTTGTCAACTGTAACTTAGAGTGTGTAATTAACAGAAGTGAGAGATTCAACACATTTCACCCCTAATCATTTATGAGGCATCATAAAATACTATAACAGCTGATCATGGCTAGGCTTTAGATCAGAGGTTTATTGACAATTATATCCTCAATTGCATCTGACAACCCTCGAGGTAAAGCTCCCTATTCCTACAATATCGAATTCTGCTAAGATGGAGAACACAGCAGGCATAACTGCTTGTTCACAGGCTGTGCTGTGAGATGTGCCAGGAGTCAAGTAGGAGTGCACAGACAGAATCCCCAACATGTTGTTGTTTACCTGACAACAAAACATGAGACCTACATATTGTGAGCTATCAATCCCGGAAGGTCATCAATATTCAAAAACAAAGCGACCTACTGCAGGAAGGAAGGGTTTTAACTGCCTGTTTGGAAATTTTGCAAAGTGGGATCTTGCAGTGGAAAGGCTGCACCAGTGATATGCAGATACCCTTGAAAGACTTAGGGACACAGTTGGCTCTGTGATCATTTTTTCCCACAAGCCCTGGGGTCCCTCCTATGTGTCAGGCATCAGGCACACCAAAGCAGCCCTGTCCCAGGGAGCTCTTAGCCCAGGAGAGAAGACAAACAAGGACAAGGTACAATCAATGAGATCAATAGCAAGAAAGGAGGTCCAGACAGAGAATCATGGGAGTTGGGTGTCTGCATATGCTGAGGTCAGAGAAAGCGCCGCAGCAGAGAAGTTTTGCACACTGCACCCCAAAGAGCAGCAGGCCTTCCGCTCGACTGACTTAGAGGGCTGGCTGAGGAGCATTCCAGGTGAGGAACTTGAGTCCCCACAGAGACTGTGAGAAAGCCAGAGGCGTTCAGAGAGGTTCACGAGTGTCCTATAAAAGCAGCATTTTCTGCTGGAAGTGAGAATAGTATAAGGGCATGGTAGGTACCTTTATGGCCACGCAAACCAATATGATGACTTTTCTGTAAAAGCTAACAATGTGGTAGATTTACCTAAAATCAATCATATTATAAAATTTCCTATTCAATTTAAAATTATTTGAGGGCTCACATCCAAACATACAGAAATTAGCATTTTTACCATCATGCATCATTACTTGGTCCTTCAATATTTAGTAAACATAATTATTTTCATGACATCTTAGAATGTAAAATACTCAGAAATTAAGCAAGTTTGTTTTCTTCACTCTAGTTTTCTTTAAAATGAAGTTTACACATTGCATCAAGAAGTTAAGAGAGTTTTGAGAGCACAGGCTTATCCAATTTCCATGGAGTTTTCCACAGAAGTTTCACGACAGTGCCCTTCAGCATGAAGGAGCACACCAGATTATTGCAAGTTTAAGAAATGGAGGGCCAGGTGTGGTGGCTCACGCCTATAATCCCAAGGCTTTGGGAGGCCAAGGTGGGAGGAATGCTTTAGGCCAGAAGTTTGAGACCAGCCTAGGAAACACAGAGGCAAGACATAAAAAAAAATTAGCCAGGTGCAGTGGTGCATGCCTGTAGTCCCAGCTACTCAGGAGGCTGAGGCAGAATTGCTTGAGCCTAGGAGGTTGAGGCTGTGGTGAGCTATGATTGTGCCACTGCACTCCAGCCTGGGTGACAGCAAGACTGTGTCTCTGAAAATTAAAACAAACAAACAACAACAACAACAAACAAAAAAAGGAATGGCTCAACCCCCCTTGTATACAGTTACATATGGTCCGGACAAGCATGCATCAAAGTTAAATGTTGCCTTTACAGTAAAATACATTCTTCAAATAGAGTAGTTTGAAGATGATATCTTCAAATTTGTAGAGATGATTTAAAGTAAATATGCCTCATGTTACTACATTGGCAGGAGTGTTTTAAAACCAGTGCAACAAGGGGTACCAGCCCTCCAAAGCCATGCTGGCTATGTATAGCAGGCTGATGGTCCTGGTATCCCTGCTAAAGGTACAACTGCCCCTGGGCCAGGGAATAGCACTTCTGTACAACTGGACACATGCTGGGAAGTCACTGTCTCCAATGCTTCACGAAAGACACATTTTGCTGTTTTAGCACATATCAGAAAACCAACTTTATATGATTGCAAGATATGAAAAACATAAATAGCCTTGGCTTTGTTAAGTTCCCAATGGTATGGAAATTTCATAAAATTTTTAGAAAATGCTATTGTCAAAGATGCATACTGACCAATTTTTTTTTTTTATTTTTTATTTTTATTTTTTTTTAGATGGAGTCTTTCTCTGTTGCCCAGGCTGGAGAACAGTGGCATGATCTTGGCTCACTACAACCTCTGCCTCCTGGGTTCAAGCAATTCTCCCACCTCAGCCTCCCAAGTAGCTGGGACTACAGGCGCCCACCACCACGCCTGGCTAATTTTTGTGTTTTTAGTAGAGACGGGGTTATACCATGTTGGCCAGGCTGGTCTCGAACTCCTGACCTCGTGATCCACCCACCTCAGCCTCCCAAAGTGCTGGGATTAGAGGCGTGAGCCACCGCGCCCGGCCCTGAGTATTTTTGGGTGAAATGACAGATGCCTCGGATGTTTTCAAGTACCATAGTATGAAAACGCTGGGTAAAGATAAAGAAAACAAGATCGCAAAATGTAGGCAATTGTTAAAGCTGGCTGATATAGTGGTTCATTAGGCTATTTTTCTCTACATTTGAAAATCTGTTATAAAAAATTTATAAGTATATAAAGGGAGAATCTATATAATTCATAATATAAATTTATATTTATATTATATTATACCTGGGGGGGGCCAGGCATGGTGGCTCATGCCTGTAATCCCAGCACTTTGGGAGGCTGAGGTGGGAAGATCCCTTGAGGCCAGGAGTTTGAGACCAGCCTGGGTAACACAGTGAGACCCTCCCTGTCTCTACAAAAAATAAAATTAAAAAAAAAAGAAAGAAAAAGAAAAAAAATGAGGGGGATATATGAAGGAAAAAAGTACATAAATGCTCTTTTAAAAGAAAAAAACAGATTCCCTAACCACATTATTTTCTATCAGTAGGTAGTAGGTAGTGTTTTCTAAACTTTGAGGCTGGTGACCAACAACTTGGGTCACTTGTCCTACTGAAAGTGGTAGATCTTGTGTTCTCAGATAAATTCCTCTAAAATTCTAAAACAACCCTTTAAAGAAATAAATACAATAGGGAAGTAACCAAGTCAACAAGTGGGACAAACTCAGACTGTACGTACAGGAGTAGTTAGATGGATCAGGAAAGAGGTGCTTCACAAATGGCACCACAAAATATTAAAAATTCACAGGTTTTTTTTAAAGCACCTCTAATGTGCCTCTCCAAAAACATAAAAAGATGTCAGAAAATAAGGAAACATCATCTGCTGTGTCACAGTACAAATTACAAATCATTTAGGTTTCTAATTTTAGCATCAGATTCTTTAAATACTATTATTGATCTGCTAAGAATCAATGTTCTTGAATTCAGCCACTCTTATACAAGCCACAAGTAATGTTTTCAACAAAACCATTACAGATTCCCAAATTGTGATGTTCTCATTTTCACTTAAATGCTGGACTGTAAAAGAATAAATTACAATCTCCAGTTTAAATGGTCTTTATAATCTTTTTCTAGGAAGACTGAATAATTACTTTCCTAGAAATCTAAATTAAGAGCTTCCTGAAAACTTAATGAGTTGCGGGAAATAGAAACATGACATTTATTACTAGCCTGAACAATACCCAATTATCTCTCCTCCTCATTCTCCCTAAAGGCAAAGCCTGATTAAGAACCACCATGGTTTGGTTCTCCAGCAACTTTTATTGGCCAAAGGATGCAGAAGGATATATGGTGTCTGTGGTTTAATTAACAGGATCGTTTATAAAACAACTTTACATTTATCTTATTTTTAAAATTCTTGCTTTTGAATAAGCTGATGTGTTAGAATAGACATGCTCCTATCCCATGCAAAAAGCTGTTCAAAAATGAGCAGCTTGCAAATCTATCATAAATGAGACATTGAATAAAATATTCTTACAGTGAGGTCTAAGAAGTAGTTCAGTCTGAGAATTTGCTTCAGATACTTTTTGAAATAAAATATTCAAGGCATAAAAAAAGCAAAACTCAAAATATCTAAAACAGATACATACTGATATTTTTATCCTAGTCATTTCCCAGAGTTTTTATGTGTCTCTGTGCTCTGCTGATTAAAATAAACAACAAAAGCAGTAGGCATCTTCTAACTAAAAGTTAATTTACTAGTCTTCAACTAAAAAGTCACAGTGGAAGAACATATATAAGGTGAAGAAAGCTTTTTAACCTTTCAGATTTAAATAATACTGCATTTCAACTTTAAAGAAAGGTTCCACCATATATTTTTTGCACTGACATTTTAAAATACAAGAACAAGTCTTTGTAATACAATATATACTTCAATATACCCAATATACCTTATATGAATTAAAAACATGTCAACTGGATAACTGTAGTAAGGCATTTAAGTATTCAGCAGAAGCCATAAAGAAATTTCTTAATGAGTGGTGTCCATTTAATATTAACTGGATTTAGTAGGTTTCCTTAAAATGAACAGGAAACAAAAGATGTGAAAAACAGGCAGTGATGCCATTATACTGAATTCCAGAAAAAGCACAGTACAATGTGTTTTCTAGCAGGGAGACCAGCAAACTGGAAGTGGATGAGCGGCCCCAGCTTACATGGTCTATTGTATTTGATCAACTGCTGAGAGAAGTATTAGTAGCCCAGTAGGTTTGGGTAAAGGTACCAGAATCCTTAGTGCTAGTCTCACAGCCAAAAACAGAGCAGGTACTCCAGATATACTTCCTGAACTGACCTGGATGAAGAGGCTTTAAAATCAACAGAGCTGGACAGTATAAAGTTCACGGAAAAACTCAATTTTTCATTTTATTTTGGTATATTAGTGAATGTCTACTGATCTAGTATTTCAAGTGTGGATCACGTAAACACCATGTAGAATGTAGTAAACGGAGTTAAATAAGAAAACACACTGGCTATCAATGCCAGAGTCTTTGAATATCAGGTCATAAATATAACCAATTGTGCAATATAACCAACATGATGAGAAAAGCACACCTCACAATTGACAATTTTAGTTCATATGATTAAAAAAAATAAAATCTGAAACTGCATTTAGTGCCACATTCTATCATATCATACATCAGATTCCATGCTGTGGAGCCGCACTGGGCTACAGGACATACAGTACATATAGCATGTTTTAAACCGAAAGTGAAAGGAAAAATATGAAACAGAAAATTTTTACATACACATCTAACGGTGTTGTCCATTTAATTCGATTTATATGATTTGCTGTGCCACTTTGACTGGCTTGCAGAACACCCCAAATTCTCTTTTCCCCATAAAGATCTACTTCCATACAGAGTAGAAAAAGATGGTGGTAAAAAAAACTTCAGATTCTTCAGGTTCCAACGATTGTGTCCCAAATGCCACTGTATGAACACCTAAAAAATATTAAGAACAATTTCAAAATCTGCATAACTATAAATGCAAAAGTAAATACAGCTTAAAGCCTAAAAGAGAATTCGTGAATATCTTGTCTTTTAACACTTGCCTGTGCCTACTACATGATGTCGACTATAAATAAAACGTCCACTGTGGTAAATGGGAAAAAAGAAGAAGCTTTAAAAAGTTAAAGGGAGACATTTGTCAATTTTATAAATAGGCCTCCTGTTTTAGCAAAAGGCACATTCATTTAGACCTCAATCAATCCAGGAAGGGCTCCTCACTGACATAAGGAATCAGGATATCTCACCCTTCCCATCAACCACCACCTGCCCTTCCTTTCTTTCTGAACAAGAGCATAAGAATTTCCTATAGAGTATAAATTCTTTCAGTTAGAACATCCAACTTTAACTTATGGGTTCTTCTCCTTCTCTTTTTTTTTTTTCTGAGACAGTTCTCACTTTATCGCCCAGGCTGGAGTGCAGTGGTATGATCTTGGCTTACTGCAACCTCCGCCTCCCAGGCTCAAGCAATTCTCCTAAGTTTCATGAGTAGCTGGGACTACAGGTGCACGCCACCACGCCTGGCTAATTTTTTGTATTTTGTAGAGATGATGTTTCACCATGATGCCTAGGCTGGTCTCGAACTCCTGAACTAAAGCAACTGGCCCACCTCAGCCTCCCAAAGTGCTGGAATTAGAGCCACTGCACCCGGCTGGGATCCCCTCTTTTTCATACTGCAGCTTCCCAAAGCTTTAACAGGCCTCTGCACTTGAGCTTGCCAGGAACTCAGGGCAGGGAGGTGTCCAAACCCACCTGTGTGCTCTCCTAACAACCACACTCCTGAGCGTTCGGGGCCTGTGCGCGCCGCGGTGACCTCAGCTGTCTCAAGGCAGCATCTCCGTACTGAATACCTGAGCCCATTCTTTCTGGGTCCAGCTCACCTAAGGACCAAGCAAGTCTTCTTTTAAAAAAGGCTTTTATGTTTCTTTGATTCCAAAAATAGATTAAAAAAAAAAAAAGCAAAGTACAGAACACTGTGTATATATCCCACCATTCTGAATAAAGGGAAAAAACTATATATATGTTTGCTTGCACCGGCACAAAACATCTCTAGCAGGATACATAAGGAACGGCTGATTCGGAGGAGTTCTAGATGGCTGAGGACAGGAGGGGGTGGTAACAGGGGGACTTTTCATTGCATACTCTTTTATACTTCTTGAATTTCAAATTATGTGAATACATTATTTATATAAAATAATTTAAAATTAAATTACAAAGATATAATTTTTCACTTATTAGATGGGCCAAAAGTCCAAGTATGATGATACTACATGCTGTGGACATGGCTTTAGTGAAATAAGCCCATCACTAGGAGAAAATGTGACAGCCTCTACACCAAGATCCCAAATGCTTATGTTCTCTGACCCAGCAATTCCACTTCTGGGCATTTGTCTGACACACAGACTCATGCACATGTAAAAAAAAAAAAAAAATATATATATATATATATATATATATATATATATATATATATATATATATATAATTATTTACTGTAACATTACTTATAATAGCAAAATACTGGCAACAACCCAAATGTCCAAAGTAGACTGGCTCATGAATTATGGTAACACATAGGTTGAGCGGTCCTTATCCAAATATAGGTTGAGCAGTCCTTATCCAAAATACTTGAAACCAGAAGTATTTTGGATTTTTTCAGATTTTGAAATATTTCCATTATACTTACCAGTTCAGCATCCCTAATCTGAAAATCTGAAATTTGAAGTGCTCCAATGAGCATTTCCTTTCAGTGGCAATGTTGGCAATTAAAAAGTTTCAGATTTTGGAACATTTTGGATTAGGGATACTCAACCCATATTACACATTACACACACACATTATGTATGACATTATGTTATATATATGTACCTTATGTATTATATGTATATACGGAAACTATAAGCTGATTTGTAATGATTTGTAGGTTATACAATAGTAAGTAAAAAAGCAAGGCGTGGTAGTCTATCATATGATACATTTTATATAAAAAAAGGGAAGAAAACAATGGTTTCTGAATGTATTACCCATTAAAAAAATAAAAAGTACTGCTGAAGAATCCTAATTTATACTCTTATATTTTTTTCACCTAGAGGTACTTATGATTTTGATGATCTCAGAAAAAAACACATCTTGGAAGACTGCATATGAGTTGTTCTATCTGATGCATTCAGGGATACAATATTAAAATAGCAAGGTCATGTAAATACAACCTCATGCTGAGCTTAATAATACTCAACAGTAAGCCAACTGTAAGGATTTATGTAACAGTGTCTTGGTTTTTGTACCAAGCTTAGTAATTTTTTTTTCTTTCTGATAAAAAAAAATACAAAAAGATGACATGTCCACTTCTGTTGAAACCCAGCCCTTCTACCTGGGCCCGACTCTCCTCCCTCCTACTTCACCTAGCACCCTCCTTCTTCCCTGCCCTCTCCTTGCCCATTCTTCTCTCCTTCCCCCTCAGCATTTAAACATGCTGGAATTTCTCCCATCACCCACAACCCCAGCTTTAAATTAACCCTTTGCACCCTACAGTGCCAGCCTGTGCTTCCTCAGGAGAGGAGTGGACACTCTGCTTGCTCACCTCCTACTTCTTCCTAACGGACGGCCAGCCATCTTCTACCTTCATAATTCTGCTGAAATTGTTCTTGATCAAAATGATCACTGACTTTCTATTCCCCATCCCAATGTGTGTTTTTCAGCTCAGTCTTAGCTTATGAGGCTTCCCTCTGTTACTATTACATTACATAATGAACACTCCTTTGATTTGCTTATAATTAGGGCTTAAGTGACACCCACATTCCCTTGATTTTCTTCACACATTTCCGACCATTTCCTTTTTCATCTTTTTTGTAGATTCCTCTTCCTCTGCTCATCCTCCAACTCCAGGGTTCTGTTGATCACTGCTCTCCTTAAACACTGTTCTCCGGACGATCACATTGCTTCCACAGTTTTAGCTGTTCCTATATATTGATGGTTCCCAAACTTATACTGCCAGCCAGGAACTCTTCCCCAAGCTTACTAGATAACTCCATGTTCATGTCTCAGCGTTACCGCAAAGGCCGCACATTTGCAACAGAGCCATCTTTACTCCCTCACATTCCCTGCTTCTCCTCTGGCTCCACCCCATCTCTGTCTAGAGACACCAGTGTGACAGCTGCGAGTCATCCTTGGTTCCTCCTCCCCTGCTGGCCCTTCCTCCTCACCTTGTCCCACCTAAGAGTCAGTTGTCCTGTCCCACTATTGGGCATATGAGTCATAAGATGCTACTGCCTAAATATATCTTAGATCCATCTCTCTCTCCATCTCTGCTTCCATATCCTTGTTAAAGCATTAATCAGTCATCTCTTACTAGGATTACTCAAAAATGCCTTATAATTGGTATCCTGGCCTCCAGGCCTGTCCTCCCTTCAGTTTGTTTTCAACATAACCTCCTACATACATGACTTATCTCAAGTCACAACCCAATCACATCACCCACCTGCTGACAACCCACCACCTACAGCAGTGGTTCTCAATCTTGGATGAACATTAGAACAGCATGAGTAAACATTTAAAAACACTGGTGCCTCGACCATACTTCAGCCCAATTAGTTCAGCGTCTCCAGAGGCAGAGCCTGGGATTAGAACTTTTAATGCATCTCAGTGTCTCTAGTGCTCATCCAGGGTTGACAATTGGTAATCTACAAGATAAAGTTCTAGATCCTTGATGAGGACTGGCTGGCTCCTGCCTTTCTTCAACCTTTTCTCCTGCTATTCCCTCTTCCTCACTCCCTTTGCTGGCTCACTCTTCCTTATATTCTGAAAGACTGAGCTCATCTAAGACCTCCCCTGAAAGCCCTCCCTGACACCTCCTCTATCCTCTGGCTGGGGCAGGTCCCCTTCTTCACGTTACCCTGAGCCTGTGCATCTCTCAGCTACTACATCAGCCTTGTGATATTATAATTATCCTCTGACTGTCTCCCATGAAAGACAGTTTCTTGGGGGGCAAGGGGTGTGATTTATTCATTTTTGTATCCCAGCATCTGACAAATAGGCACTCAGATGTTTGAATGAATCAATTAAAAGGTGATGCCCATATATAGTTACTTTAGTAAATGACAACTACACAGTATTTCGTCAGCTGCCTACATTAGGATTATTTTAAATTATTTTAATAAGCAAATACAAAAATGAGGCATTTTATAATTGAGGCATGCTCAGTAAGCTTCAGAAATAAAATTACTCTGGACTCCATAGTTCCATGATGCCCGATCTGCAACAATCAACACTATACCATGTACCTATAACTCCCTTACACATGACCACTGGCCCAACAGAATTAGCGTGCTGTTGACAGAGTGGACAAAGGCCTATTCTTCCTCCGTTTAGTGAAGGACCAAAGAAAGACTATGGTTCTAAATGCAAACACTCCCTGAAACCTTGACTACCTTTCCACAGCTGAGCTGGTGTGCCCATCCACTTTCATCACCATGGAAACCATCCTGATAAGGATGGGGCTTTCATCCTGATAAGAACAGGACCTTTGAACCCATATGTGATGATTTTAGGTTGGCAGGTAGAGAGAGAACATTCTTTACTAAATCACCCTGAAACTATTAATTAAAAGGTGATCTACTGAGCTACAGTGTAAAATATGCAGAAGAAAAGTTGCTTAATGGAAAGGCTTTTACCTGATTCGATTTTGTTAAGTATTTTTCTTGCACACTGTACAAAAGCCTCTTCTACATTCTCCCCTGTGAGCGCACTTGTTTCCAAAAACATCAGCTCTAAAATGGACATCAAACAAAATAAAGTCATGTTTAGAAGATGATCATAATTTTCACTTACAAAAGCCTGTGTAGCATTCTCTTAGAAAAGCAGACGAAATATAATTTATGACCTAAAACCATATATTTCTGTAAATATAAAATCAATATATGTCATTATGTGTTTTTTAAATGTTAAAAGAATTTTAGCCTTTTCTGAAAAGTAACTGCTATCTTGTGCTAGCACTTAACCTGGTGAAGGGGCTGAGCAAGCAACCAGGCTTCCCCAGCCAAATGACAGCCCATCAGAAAGGAGCTGGCTTGCCAAAATGGCCCTGCCATTGATTTCAGGGAAAGTTGCAATGTCCTTCTTCAAACAATCTGAGTGTCACCACAAATATGACCTACAAGTGTTTACACTTTTTAGGGGACTATATTGCAATCTGTCATACAGCCCATGAAGAGACAGTATAGGAATTAATACTCTTTCTACCCACCAGAGTGGCTGTTCATCTCAGCAGAAAGGCCTGTTCTGCTTGCTCTCTCAGCAAACCATGGCCTCTCTAGCCTCTTGTATCCTCACTTGTAAAAATGAGTTTAGATGACATCTAAATTCCTTTTCATCTTTGTTAACATTCTAAACTTCTGATTTCTAAACAGCTTTTTAAAAACTGTCATGATGGCATATGGATTTCTCTCATGTTTATTTTCTTAGCAAGAAACTAGTCAAGTTACAATATAATTTGGAATCTTAGAGTCCAAATATTGATATTAGGATTCTAGTTTTTGGTTCTAAAAATTAAAGTTATTTAAAATGTCTGAAGTTTTAAAAAATCATTCTCTTATCCATTAATTAAGCAACCATTAATTTTATGTGGCATTTTCATGTATTCTATATGGAAATTCAAAAAAGTTTCAAAGTTGTCTATAACCAAATGACTTAAAATGAAGCCAAAAAGCCAAGTATTTCTTCTTCCGCTTCCCTTTCTATTTGGGTTAATATTTCACCAAATTTCCTTCAAAATACATTAAAAAATAATGACATCATTTGGTTAGAGTCTTTAAATATTATTAATTTCACTTTAGCCCAAGATCTCTAATATTCAAAGACCCTAGACTGAAAAGTCATTACATAATGTTACTACATTTGCTTTTATCATTATAGTAACTTCTGCAGGCAGAATGCAATATACTAAAAATATGCTTAATAGGTCTAATTTATAGAAAAAAACAATTGGAAATTCCACATTTCCTAAATCTAGTTTAATCTTGAAATTCCAATATATGTTTTAAATTCAAAGAAATGCTATTATCCTCAAATATGCGATTTGAAAAATAGTAAGAAGTAAAAGGTCACTTGCCATTTTCTTGAGCAAATCTGGAGGCTTCTAAGAAGGTAACTTCACGATCTGCATCCAGGTCCTTCTTGTTTCCACAAAGGATGATCACAATGTTCTGGCTCGCTAGCATTCGGGCATCTGTTAACCAATTAGTAAGCGCATTGTAGGTTTCTCGGCTGCGTAATATAAGATTGTGAAAATAATACATGTATTTTATAAAACTAGCAACTCTTTCCAGTCATTCTCACTACTCATACCGCTTTTCAACATTTCAGGGTAATGGCACCAACACCTTTAAGATAACTCAGACAACGTGAATGCACCAAGTATATACCATACCCACAGTTTGTTCCATTTTGTTTCTGGTAAAATGAGACAGCAAGTGAGATATTTTGTTATTTTTCGTTTGCCCAGTCATGGGGCAAAAGGAAAGAGATGTTCCTTCATTCAATTGACAAATATCTATTGAGCTCTTAGCATGCGCAAGGCACTAGACTCTGGTAGGCAAGATTTCATAGCTAATTGCTGCCACTTAATGAATCCTTGCAATGTGCCAGCACTTTGTTTTACAGGACTTTATCACATTGATTCTTTATAAAGATTCCATGACACAGACTGCCATTATTCCCCTTTTCTCTGAGAAATCCAAGGCCCAGAGAGATTAATTACGTTGCCCTAGGTCATACAGCAGCCAGTGGCAAAGTCAGGACTTGACCAGCTCTGTCTGACTCCAGGACCAACTCTCAGACTTACTATTTTTGGCCCTCATGTGTCTAAGGATTGAGTTCTTCTCATGGCACTTTGCTAGCCTGATTGATGACTTCACACTTTAGCAGGCTGAGCCTTTCACTGCCTGGGCAAGTGCAGGAAGGGCTGGGCCAGAAACTGCCTTCCTCCTCTCAGAACGCCTGGCTCCCGGGACACAGATTGGAAGAGGGAAGCGGCTGCTGAGTGACATCCTCTCACTGGACAGGTTCCTACCCAGAAAGGGCCCCCAGATGATGCCATTTAGATGACACATTTCTAAGACAGTGCTACTGAGATCAGCACTGCTGAATGTGATTTCCTCATGGATAGGAATGTTCTATAATCTGTCCTGATATGGTAGTCACCAGCCACATGTAGCTACTGAGGACCTGAAATGTGGCCAGTGCAATCGAGGAACAGAATTTTTTATTTCAGTTAAATTGCCATATGTCACAAACAGCTACTAACTGCTTCACATTAACTAATTTAAACCTCCCAATAACCTCCTGAGGATCATGTGATTATTACTATCTCCATCTTACAGACAAGGAAACTAAGGCCCAGGCAGCTGAAGCACCTGGCCTGAGAGGGTCAATCAGCTAGTGACTGCAACTGGGATTTGAACCCAGCAATCTCAGCCCAGAGTCTGTGTCCTCACCCTCTCTCAACTCACTTCTAATAACTTTCCATACATAAAGCTTTGTGAACCTTAAGGAAAGTGTCCAAGCATCATGTCAAGAAATGTAATGTAATAGCATGGATTGCTTTATCCACCTAAAACCTTACAAACACATTTCTCTGCAGGGGAAAGCAGTGGTAGGGGCTCGTTCAAAGACCTCTGAGACCCCAGATGGAAGGGCTAAGGGGCTTCCTGGATGCCAGCCACACCACCGTCCCTGGACACACAAAGCACACACTGCACGGAGGGCACCTCGCCAAGACCAGCCTTTGGGCTGCAGGGCACTGAGCACCCTCCTTCACCAGGGGGAGCTGGCATTACCTGGTGATATCATAGACGAGGAGAGCCCCGGCCGCGCCTCGGTAATAACTTCTCGTCACGGACCTGGAAGAATTATACTGGTTTTACTTTCAACCAATTGAGACCCTTTACTGTATCCCACTTTCCCATGAAAAAACACCCATGCTTGCTTTGTAAACCACAACACAGGGACAGACACTGGTTTAAAAGAGAAATGATTCAAAGATATTTGAACATACATGTGAGGGGTTATTCTGCCTGAAATCACATCACTGTGGCAAGTAGGAGATTCCTTCACAGCGGATGCAGCTCTCTGATGGATGTCTCCTTTGAGAACTCCTAGCAGGGTGAGCTGTCTGCGGAAGCCAGCACCACCCCCTAGATGGACACTAAGGGGCTCAGCAATCCACTCACTTCTCTGCGAGCTCCTCATCTACCCCACTCCCTGGCACAATTTTCTCCATCTCTTCCAGTTCTCGCCACCTCTCGGCGCGGTGGAATCCATAGTCACCACAGGAATCCATAGTCACCACGGCCCTACACCCACCTGCATCCCTGCCCTATTACTACGGGAAAACTGAGTGTCCCAGTATGTCATATCCACTCTCACATTCAAGAAGGCGTCTTTTGGTCATACATGTTTTCCCCTACATTGTCAATCTCACCCTCTTTGTGAGATTTTTCCCATTAGTGGCCGGACACCTATAATCCCAGCACTTTAGGAGGCCCAGGAGGGAGGACTGCTTGAGGCCAGGAGTTTGAGACCAGCCTGGGTAAGAGAGAGAGACCCTGTCTCTACAAAAAATTAGCCAGGTATGGCAGTACACACCTGTAATCCCAGCTACTCAGGAGGCTGAGACAGAAGGACTGTTTGATCCCAGGAATTTGAGGTGACGGTGAGCGATCATGCCACTGCACTCCAGCCCAGGCAACAGAAAGAAAAAAAAAAAAAAGCCAGGAGTTCAGGATTTTTCCTATTAGCAAAATAAAAATAAATTGGCTCTGGTACCGCCCATCTTAAAACACAAAACAGAAATATGCTGCACCATCTTTTCAGTTACTGTCCCACTGTCTGCTCTTCTCCACATCCAACTGTCTTTTTTGAGACAGAGTTTCGCTCGTTACCCAGGCTAGAGTGCAATGGCGCGATCTCAGCTCTCTGCAACCTCTGCCTCCCAGGTTCAAGCAATTCTCCTGCCTCAGCCTCCTGAGTAGCTGCACCCGCCACCACGCCTGGCTAATTTTTGTATTTTTAGTACAGACGGGGTTTCCCCATGTTAGCCAGGCTGGTCTCGAACTCTTGACCTCGGATGATCCACCCGCCTCGGCCTCCCAAAGTGCTGGGATTACAGGCGTGAGCCACCACGCGTGGCCCCACATCCAACTTTCTGAAAGAGCTGTCTTTACCTGCAGCTTCCTCTTCTTCACCGCCAACCTAGTGTCCATCTCTGCTACTCCCCAAAAGCCTGTCAAGGTCCCCACCCTCTCTGCAACCGAAGCTGGAGTGGGCATTTCTGTCCTCACTCACTCGCGCAGCCTCTGCGCCCTGCACTCTGCTAGTCTTCCTCCCGCTCACCAGCCACTTCTCTGGCTCTGGTCATTCTTCTGAATCTGCCCTGCTGGGATTGCGATTCCCCAGAGCTGGGTCCTGGGCTCTCTTAACATTCGACTCAAATTTTGTCTCCAGCTCAGATCCAAGTGCTGCCTCCATATCTCCATGAGACTGCCTGATAAACATGTCAAACTTAACATCTGCACAGCAGGACTCTTTTTGGTCCCACCCTCCAGGCCCGTCCTGGCCTAGGAAGAGGCATCACCACGCACCCTGTTTCTAAAGCAAATCAGCTCCACATTCATCCTCAATTCCTGTGCACCTCCACATTCACTCCGCCAGCCTAGTGCAGTCTCCTACACTACACAAATCCTGTGTCTGCCCACGCTGCTGTCCCTGCTGCCATGTGTGGCCCACAGTCCATTCTTCAGAGCAGCCCAACTCATCAAGGCCCAGGACAGGACATCTCCGTCACTGTACCTGTCCCTTTGGCCCCATTCTCTTCCCTGCTCCCAGCCCCTGCCACTCCCGTCTGGGCTCGTCACACCGCTGGCTTTCCTTGTCCCTTGGGTCTCATTAACTCTATCTCCTCAGCAACGTTCCCCAAGCATCCCCATCCAGTGGACCCCCTCTATCTCAGCGTGCTGTCTCCTGGGTGGCACCATCCCACTTGGTGGGATGCTCTTTCTGTCTCTGTCTCTGTGTTGGCTGCCTGCCTCCCCTCCATGGGGCAGGGCTCTGCTGTCTCACTCACCAGAGGATCCCAGTGCCTAGCACAGGGCCTGGACCACTGCTAGCTAGACATTCCCAGAACTTAACTGTGGCCTAATTAAATTAAAAAATATATATTTGGTCTTCGTCCCAGGTTCCTGGCACAGAGGCCCAAACCCCTGTGATTTCCTTAGTGATAAAGGTGTCTTTTGTAAGCCAAGGAGATAACTGTGGGAAGAGTAGCAGGCTAGAGAGCCTTGGGATCGGGGCTGTGGCCGTGGGAGCCCTCACCGAGTGAGGAGAGTGCTGGAACTTATAGCCTCACCTCAGCCCTCTGGGGAGGAAAGAGGAGCTGGAGATTGAGTCAATCATCAATGGATAATGTTTTAATCAATCGTGCCTTTGTAATAAAACCTCCACAAAAAAACCAAAAGGATGGGGGTCAGAGAGCTCCTGGGCTGGTGGTGGCATGGAGGTGCTGGGAGGTGGCCCATCCCCATACCTCGTCTCCTAAGCATCTCCTCCACCAGGCTGTGCCTGAATTGACACCTATCTAACAAACCAGTAAATGCCAGGAAAAATGTTTTTCCTGAGTTGTGTGAATCATTCTAACAAATTCTCCAACCTGATGGGGATGTGAGGGATGGAGGGTGTGGGAACTGCCAGATCTGTATTTGGCCAAGAAGTGCAGGAAGCCTGGGCACTCCAGTTGTGACTGGTGTCTGAAGCGGGGGTGGCAGTCTAGGTCTCCTTAGCCTGGAGGGTCCCCTTTAACTCTGGGTAGTGTCAAAAGTGAATTGAAGTGTTGGACACCCAGCTGGTGTCAGAGAATCCGACTGGCTGGTGTGAAGAAAAACCCCATAGACTTGATGTCAGAAAAAAAAAGACACCAGAGGAATGAACTATCCTTGGAGAACAAAGAAACCCGTGCAGCTTGCAACAAACAAACAAACAAAATTACTAATTATTACTTTGCTGCTTGGCAAAGAAGAGCTACTTTTAAATGTACTTTTTAGCTCTTAGTCAGGAAGCTTCAAGGTCTTCATGTAGCTTGAAGCTTTTCCTCTCTGCCTTGAGACTGTTAGCAAGAGGCACACGCTTTAAGGACTGGTGGCAGGTAGAGGTGCAGAGTGGACTGTTTGCTCTTCACCCCACAGCCTCCTAAGGCAGGGGGAAAGGCCTCGCTTGTTCACATCTATTAAGAGGCAGCGCCTTTCTATTCTTGCTCAGCAGGCACCTAGCTTCTAGAGGAAGAGGGAACTACGAGTTCTCTTCAAGATAAGCTGTATCACATCTACTTCTTAAAATTTTACTTTCAAATTTATTTTACAACACTGTCTTGACAAATAGTTTCTTATACAAATTACTCCAGTATACAAATATACACATTTAAGAATACTACTTTGAGGTGTTAAATTTTCTTTTTTTTTTCCTTTTATTTATTTATTATTATTATACTTTAAGTTTTAGGGTACCTGTGCACAATGTGCAGGTTACATATGTATGTATACATGTGCCATGCTGGTGTGCTGCAACCGCTAACTCGTCATCTAGCATTAGGTATATCTCCCATTGCTATCCCTCCCCCCTCCCCCCACCCCACAACAGTCCCCAGAGTGTGATGTTCCCCTTCCTGTGTCCATGTGTTCTCATTATTCAATTCCCACCTATGAGTGAGAATATGCAGTGTTTGGTTTTTTGTTCTTGCGATAGTTTACTGAGAATGATGATTTCCAATTTCATCCATGTCCCTACAAAGGACACGAACTCATCATTTTTTATGGCTGCATAGTATTCCATGGTGTATATGTGCCACATTTTCTTACAAAAGTAATTTAACCAATATAATACATGTGGATAGTTTTAAAGTGAAATGTCACGAAAAGTCTCTAAATTAAACACAGCCATCTCCTGCCTCACTCCTCTCTGGGAGCCCTACTCTCCACAAGCGAGGTGAGTTCTCTCTTTCTGGTAACTGGGTTTCCTTTAATTAAGTCATTAAAAGAGCACATACTGCGCCCCTGTGTGCTAGACACTATTCTGGGCACAGGGGAAACAAACAGAAAACTCAAAAACCCTTACACTCATGGATCTTACAGTTTCTTTCTTCTCATTTCTACAAAAGGTTTAGGAAACTGAATTTCAGAGCTGTTTCTTCCCCGCTCTGACAGAGTCGTGAGCTCTTACAGAGCCCCTCACTTGTTCCCCTGGTCCTCCTGGAAGGGCAGTGCCATCACATACTGACTGCTGTCTTAGTCTTCCCTCACTGTCCCTCTAGACCTGTGCCATTCTGAGCTGGATCTTCCTGCTGGCTTCATTTTCCTCTTTCTGGGATCATGCCCTTGTCCTGGTGAAGTATATCCTCCTAAACTTTCTAAGAAAGTACATTTCTAAGAAGTCTCTGAGAAAGATAATCTTGGCTTCCTCCTCTTTCTTGCACATCTGTTGGTATTCAGCCTTTACTTGCACACTTACAGTTTGGCTAAGTTTAGAATTTTAGGTTGAAGAATTATTTCACCCTGAGTTTTGAAGGCAATGCTTCCATTTCTTTTAGCTTCCAATGTTGCTGTGGAAGGGTGCAAAGCAATTCCATTTTTCACACTTTATATGTGGCTGCTTTTTCCCTCTTGGAACCTTTCTGGTCTTCCTTACTTCATCTGTGGTGTTCTGAAATTTCACATGGCACGCTCTGGTCTGGACTTTTTCCTTACTATGTTTGATTTTAGGTGGGCCAATTAATCTGGAATCTCATTCCTTCAGTGAAACATTTTCTTCTATTATTCTCTCTGCTCTTCTCTCTTCTGGAACTCCTAATAGTCATTGCATCTTCTGGATTAATTCTGGAGGATTCTTTATGTCATCTCTCCCATTTTTCACCATGAGTTTATTTAACATATTATTCTGATTGCTCTTTTTAAGTATGACTTTGTTTCTATTACATACTCCAATGCAATCTCTGCTCTTCTTCCTAAGGATACTGTGGTTTTAGTGTGTTTTTCTTACTCCCTCAAAGTTCCAGCTTCTTTACTTTGAGCTCTCTCTTTTGCTATAGAAACTTTCTTCAAAATTCTGCCTGATCATTAAGAGCAAGGAATGAAAAAGTCTAAAAGAAGCTCTTTATGTGTGGGTGGAGCAGGTGGGCTTGGAGGGTTTCACTTTCAGATGACTGGATAGAGACTGGGCTGTTTGACTGGGAAAGCAAAATGTCACTACCTTCAAGCCTTTCCTTTCTGACTATTCATTTTTCTGCAGAGAAGGCTCCTTTCTCCTATGTGGGACATACACACCTGGCTGCCAGCGACCAGGGAAGAGGTAGGGGAGGTGGGTTGGGGGCCAGAGGCTTTCATTTTCACTTAATTTCCCTCTTTTCAGGCCTGACCCCATGCCCTCAGGTGGGCCTTATGACCTTGAGTCTAGACTCCATTTCAACGTAAAAGACTGAACCTCTTATTTCGTGTGTAAACATGAACCTCTGTAACCTCTACCTCCTGTAGAACCTGATGCTTCCAAATCCTGACCTTTTCTGGGACTCCAGAGGAAGAAATGGCTTCCCCCATTACAGTACTTAAGGTGGAGCTCCTTCTGCTGTCAGAGCACCATCTACTTCCTATCTTTAAGATTTTTTTGGAAATCTCTCAATCATAATTGTGCACTCACTCAATCTTGGCCTTTTTGAGTTACTTCAATTTCAGTTACTTAACAGACATTTCAGTGGGGTTCTGAGAGGGAAGACATAAATGTCTAATTGAATCCACCATGTTTAATCAATGCTTCCAGAAAAATGATGGTGATTAAAGGTGGTTATGGTATTTTTGAAGCAATTATTGAACTTCAATTACTTAATTAATTTTTGAGATGGAGTTTTGCTCTTGTTGCCCAGGCTGGAGTACAATGGCGTGATCTCAGCTCACTGCAACCTCCACCTCCCGGGTTCAAGCGATTTTCCTGCCTCAGCCTCCAGAGTAGCTGGGATTACAGGCACCTGCCACCACGCCCGGCTAATTTTTTTATTTTTAGTAGAGAAGGGGTTACACCATGTTGGCCAGGCTGGTCTTGAACTCCTGACCTCAGGTGAGGAGGTCTGCCTCGGCCTCCCAAAGTGCTGGGATTACAGGCATGCGCCATTGTGCCCAGCCAAACTTCAATTATTTAATATACGACATGTACTCAACTTCAAGTGAAATGTTTACAAATGGGGTGGATTTTATTTCACTGAATTATAAAACTATGAATATCAGTTCTGACTTTGTGCATCTGTGCAAAAACCACAACTAAAATATTAATCTATTTTCTTGCTTTAGTAGTTACAGAATACTAAACATGTAACCTCATTTGCAGTGACTGAAGTCATTCTGAGCCTCAGTTATGACCCTATTGTAATTAAAGTGTGGAGAGAATATTTTGTGGAGTGTGTATCAAACATCAGAACATGCTCTAGTTAATGTAAAACAAAACAAACCCTCACAAGGTTTTAAAAAGTTCTTCTTTAAAAAAGGAACACAGAAAAACAAGCTTGTGCTTTGATTTGAATCTAGAAACATACTGTACAATACACAGTGCCACATCCTCCTGAGAATGGGTCAGCCTCCGAATTATAATGCAGTTGCGCGGAGATCCTCCTGTATTCTTTAGTAATCCATGCTGCAGAGAGCTAACCTAAATTTTAGCTGTCTTGTCAATCAAAGTTTCCAAAAATGAAGTTTCTGAGATTAGGACAAGGAAGGGGTGTGTTGGGGAGGGAGTGAGACCTTATATATTGAGAGAATATCATCAATTATTTTAAATCAAATTTTCAAATATTTTTATTAAGTTAGAGAAAAGCTACCTGAATCGTTCTTGTCCTGCTGTATCCCATATTTGTAACTTTACATATTTACCACCAACATTTATTATCTTTGAACCAAATTCCACTCCTATTGTATGATTTGAGTCATCTTTGACTAAAAAAGAAAAACAAGAACAGCATATTTAATTTTAGAACATTAACAGGCTTATAGATTTAAACAAGTGACACTAAAACCAAGAGTTACATCAATGGGGAATGGACATTACTCTAGCCATTCATTTCTCCAACATTCCATTGAGAAGATGCATTTAGTTTTAAAGATAATACACACAGCCCCTATTCTCAAAGAGACATAAAGATTTTTCTCAAAACCCCCAAACAAATGATACATTTAAAAACCTATGCCTGAAAGTAGCCCTGCCATATCCGAACCACATCCAACTGTGCACTGTTAAGATGCTCACAGATGGTGACTGCTGACATACCAGCGTACCATTCTGAAGGGCATAACGCCCAGTGACAGGTGTGGAACTCAGTAAGTAATGAGGTGGAGACAGTTTCAACTACTGTATTTGAATGGTTAAATATTTTAAAGAAATAACAGTGAGTGGAAGGAAAAGCAGAGGAAAAGGGAAAAGGAGGAAAAAAATTGAACCAAAGAAAAAACACCCTCCAAAAAACCCCAAAACAAAGCACCCTCCAAAAAACCCCAAAATAAAACACCCTCCAACAAACCCCAAAACAATACACCCTCCAATAAACCCCAAAACAAAACCCTATGCAAGCTACAGGTGTTTGAGATTTCATTAATCGTAGTGTTCTATGGAAATGATTTGGGATGAATTTGTTGGAGAAATTAGTACTATTTGAATGGGCAGGAGACAGGCAAAATAAGTATTTTGCTAAACCCAGCGGGAATACACTGCCTATGAAAGAACATTTCTGTGATGATAAACAGATAAGCTGAAATTGAATATCGCAGCTATACAGTCCATTGGCTAGTTTATATTTTGTAACTGCAGAACAAAATTTAATTGTTTCAGAGATCAGGGATGCCACTGGCAACTGGATTTATTATTTACAGGGCAGAGGGTAGATAAATGGTTACAGTGACTATGCTAGTCTGTTTCATGCCCAGACAGTATAGAACTAGTATGGAAATTCCATTAGGAGTAAACTACCAGGAAAAATGCAGGGTAAGATCCTTAAAAAAAATAGTAACTAAAGGCCAGGGGCATCCTGGTTACAAAGAGAGACCTTCCGTTCATTACTGTTGTGAGGAGTTGCAGAGAGGACCATGCAGGGGAGTTCTCTGAGGAGGACAGAATGATTACATAAGCTGGGTACTTGGCCCAGTACCCTCTGGGTATTCTTTTCTAAGACTGTACCACACAAAGTCTTGGCAACTTGTAAATAAACTATCCAGTGAATGAATACTTGTTAAATTCAGTAAGGACCAGTTCTGTGACTAAGCCACACTGGGTCCATGTCACTAAACAAACAGGCTCCAACAAGCTCTTGGGTGATGAAAATGGAAGAAGCAGAGTAAATTTCTAGGATTTTATTATTCTTCAAAGCTTTCTGCCAAAACACCCCAAACTGGTTCTTTCTCCTTTTTACCCACCACCTACCATGCCTCACATATACTTTCTTAAGATAAACTTAATTAAATAAGACACTCTGTTTTTGACCCTTCACCCACCTGCCACTAACTAGACAGGTCTTTCTCCACGATTCTTTCCATTATTAAAAAGCATTTTTTGTTTTAAGGGCCTTTCAAACCTACAGTCTTCTACAGCCTTCCAAGGTCTCACATAGTTTGAAATAAAAAATTCAACCTCCTTTACCAAAACAGTGAAAGTCAATGGTAAAAGATGGGCTGTGTGGTCAAGAGGTCTGTTTCTGGCCTATAAAACAGAATTGATGACAGCAACTGCCTTAACTACAACACAAGCCCACTATGAGGACCAAATGTTGTTATTTTATCCAAAATGTATGCCTAGAGCTTCTCTGGCTGCTCTGTCAGGAAACAGGATTCCTGCCACAGAACCCCTCTGCTATCTTCAACATCACTATATGGTCTCTCAGCATCTGCAAAATGTACAGTAGAAGTAACCATATACTGAACCATTGTTAAATAGAAATGCTAACTTAATAAAAAATCACATCACCCAAAGTTCAATAACATAACCCTTCAAAATACTTTCAAACTATTACTTTTTTCCTCTGAAAAAATTAAGTTTACTGTAAACAAATCTGAGTGAGAGGGCTCTCAGAAGACATGCACGGAAGAATGACTAATTTCATGACACTTACATTTTTTTTCAATAAACTGATGAAGTAAGCAAGATTTGCCAGTTCCTGCATTTCCAATAACCAAGAACTTAAACAAAAAATCTGAAAGATAAAAAGAGACTGTGAAAATAACTTCAAAATAGTGCTGTGAATTTCTTCTTAGATCACGATCATCAAATTTAGTATCTTAGTTGTTAATATAACAGGAAAAAGAGGTAACTGAGTATCTTGTGAAATGACAATACATATGTTGACTTACCTTTTCACATTTAAGATATTTGGCTGACATGTTAATTCAGTGGTTTTCCAAACTGTGCTCTTTGAATAATTACTTTGCAAGGTTAAAGTCTGAAAACTACTCTTGGAATGAATAAAACTTGTCCCTTTGCTAGCCACTATTCAAAGAAATATGCATATTCAGTTGGCAGCAAAGTTAGTTTAGAAAATTTCAAGTGTTTTCTGTACAAAAGAATAAACCTGGTAGACTTTGAAGAGTCTACCTCTTTCTTCTTCTTAAAAAGCAGGGGAAAAGGGAAAAGGAAAAAAATAAGTTTTGTCTGCACTTGCAGATTTACGTGGTCTTGCTTCTTTTCCCTCATCTGTAATTTGTATAACGGCATAAGCCAAGTTTAGGTCAGCACTTCAAGTGCGAAATTTGTCTGATTCAATGACAAACTGAATAACTTCTTCTTTACACATAGTAATATATTTAATTTGGGATATTATTTTTTATAAAATGGAAATAAAGGATTTCCAAATGGAAATTTTTAATTAGCATGATGTAGTATCAGTAACTTCATATTACCCATGTTAATTCACTTTGTTTTTTCTGTTACCAAAGAACTGTAATTCTGCATAGCTTAGGAGCTTAGGAGCTCGGGAGTACCAGAACACCAACTCCCTCCTCCCCGTTTGACTCAGCTGCTAAGTCCACTCCTTACCCTTGCTCCTGACCCACCACTGCTAATCCCCACTGCTGCCTGACTCCTTCTGTGGCCTCAAAGGCTCTGCTCTGTATTCCTGGCTCCCCTGTTTGTAGCTTTGAAAGTGTCACCTCCACACTCTTTTCCAGATCAGATCAAGCACTCCCTCCTCAATTAAGCTCCAAGAGTGTGTTCCTTTACTGATGCTTGGCCTAGCTCTGTCACGTTTCTTAAGAACTATGTTAATCACCACTGAGAGATGAAGCCTATTCAACCTCTCATAATATTCACATGGTTACAGGCAATCAAACTAAAAATAATGCTATTAGAATTTTGTTAGCATTAAAAAGTTCCAGGCTGAGCGCGTTGGCTCACAACTGTAATATGAGCACTTTGGGAGGTTAAGGAGGGAGGATTGTTTGAGCCCAGGAGTTCAAGACCAGCCTGGGCAACATATGAAAATTCTGTTCCTAAAAAAAATAAAAATAAAAACTTAGCCGGGTATGGTGGCACACACCTGTAGTCCCAGCCACTTGCGACACTGAGGAGGGTGTATCACCTGAGTCCAGGGGTTCAAGGCTGCAGTGAGTTAGAATCGTGCCACCACACCCCAGCTTGGGTGACAGAGCACTCTGTCTGTAAACTAATTATTCAATGGATAGGTTAAAGAGTAAAATGGACAAAACTGAGGAGAGAATTAGTGAATCAGAATAAAACCTGGAGATTACCAGTAGGCAGTACTGAGAGCTGAGGACAGAACATATAAAAGAACTCAAGAGACATGGAGGATTGAAGGAAACGATCTAACATGGATCTAACAGGAATTTTGAAATTAAAAAAATAAGAGAATGAGGGTAGAGAGCCCATGTTAAAATAAATAATGGCTGAGAATTTTATAGAATTAAAATTAAAGGATTGTTCAAATAAAAAATAACTCTGAACCATGAGAAGAATAAATAAGGATAAATCTACACATAAATACATAATTGTGAAACTGCAGAATACACATGAAGACTGTAAAAGCAATAAGAAAGAAAGGAAAGAAGGCTTGTAAAGAAACTAGGTGTCTTGATTCCAAAGGTCCGAAAGCAACGGGGTACTATCTTCACAGGGCTGAGAAGAGGGGCAACAACAACCCATCATTGTTGCATTTGATGTGCAAAAAAATTACCCTTAAAGCCCAGGTGGACTTCCACTTCCAAGACAATGGAGTAGAAGAACTTTTTCCTATTTTTCTCACTAAGAACAACTAAAAACCCTAGAAAAGGATGGGTGTGGTGGCTCATGCCTGTAAATCCCAGCACTTTGGGAGACTGAGGCGGATGGATCACCTCAGTCAGGAGTTCGAGACCAGCCCGGCCAACAGCGAAACCCCCGTCTCTACTAAAAATACAACAATGAGCCAGGCGTGGTGGTGGGTGCCTGTAATCCCAGCTACTCAGGAGGCTGAGGCAGGAGAATTGCTGGAACCTGGGAGGTGGAGGTTGCAATGGGCCAAGATTGCACCACTGCACTCCAGCCTGGGCGACAGAACAAAACTCAGTCCAAAAAAAAAAAAAAAAAAAAAAAACCAAACAACACCAACAACAAAAAAAACCACCCTAGAAAAGAAATATCAAAGACTCTGAGGCCGGGCGCAGTGGCTCATGCCTGTAATTCCTGCACTTTGGGAGGCCAAGGTAGGTGGATCATCTTGAGGTCAGGAGTTTGAGACCAGCTTGGCCAACATGATGAAACCATGTCTCTATTAAAAATAATAATAATAAAAAAATTAGCCAGGCGTGGTAGTGAGCACCTGTAATCCCAGCTACTTGGGAGGCTGAGGCAGGAGAATTGCTTGAACCTGGGAGGCAGAGGTTGCAGTGAAGCAAGATTGTGCCACTGCATTCCAGCCTGGGCAGCAAGAATGAAACTCCGTCTCAAAAAAAAAAAAAAGACTCTGAAAGAGTGGAGCAAAAGAAGGCCAGTGTACCAGAGATTTCAGTGTACCCGGGATTTCAGGGCCCAAGGAATGATTTGGAAGGAAGTTCCCTGGGTTCTTTTTGCCTCTTGTATCCTAGGCTTGGAGCAGAACAAGCTGGCAACCCAGAAATGCCAATGGATGCAGACAAAAAAAGTCCTAGCAAAAGCCTGCTCTCTGTAGCCATGGGACCAAAAAAGGGGCAGCCAAGCAAGAGAGAGGAAAACTCTTACACAATAATGACTCTATTCTAGCCAAGCACCACAGCAAAAACTATGGTCCAACCTGTACCCATGCCAGCAAAGGCCGAATGGGGAGCCTAAACTTCCACCCTTGCAAGGCTACAACCGGGCATATCAATATCCCCACAAAGATGGTGTCAGAGAAGACCAAGTAGGGAGCTAGGGCTTTCATCTCTGCTGGCTGTGTAATGAGCTCTTGTGTGCCCCTGGCACAGTGTCAGTGGAGGTCACCAGGGAAAGAGGGACGAGAACATTCTAATCCTTACCCAGCAGCAGTAACAAGATGAATTCCTCTCATGTGTCAATGGAAGCAAGTGGGGAATCTGAACTTCTAGATTCCAGAATCTAGACATGATGGCAGTGATAAGGTAGTGTCCAAGAGAGGAAAACAATTAAAAGATTTAAATAAAGATCTAAGGTCCTATAACATAATATAAAAATATCCACGTTTCAGTTGAAAACTCCTCATCATACCAAGAACCAGGAAGACCTCAAACTGAACGAAAAAAGGTAACAGACATATTCCTATGTCAAGATGACAAATGTTAGAATTATCTGACAAAGATTTTAAAGCAGTCATCATATCCAACAAGTAACACAAGCATGCTTGAAACAAATGAAAAAATTAGAAATCATCAGCAAAGAACTAGAAGTCTCAGCAAAGAACTAGAAGATACACAGAAGAACCAAATAGAAATTTTAAAACTGAAAAATAAAACTACCAAAATAAAAGTTCAGTGGATGGGCTTGACAGCAGAATGGAAGTGACAGGAAAGAATCAGTGAACTAGATGACAAAATGATAAAGTATCCAATCTGAACAACAAAGAATAAAAGGTTGAAATAAATAAACAGAGCCTCAAGGACCTGCAGACAATGAAAAAGATCTAACATTCATGTCACTGGAGTCCTGGAAGGAGAGGACAAAGAGAAAGTGGTTGAAAAAAGCACTCTAAGAAACAGCACTGAAAACTTAAATTTGGTGAGAGACATAAATCTACAGATTTGAAAAGCTGAATGAACTCAAACAGGATAAACTCAAAGAAGTCCATGACAAGATACATCATAATTAAACTTCTGAAAACTGAAGACAAATAAAAAGTCTTAAAGGTAGCCAGAGAAAAATGATACCATATCTACAAGGGAAATACAATTCGAATAACAGCAGATTTCTCATCTGAAGCCAGGGAGGCCATAAGAGAGTGACTGTATTTTTCAAGTGCTCAAAGAAAGAAAACCTTTCAACCCAGAGCCCTATGTCCTGTGAAACTATTTTTCTGGAATAAAGGGTAAATGAAGACATTCTCTGATTTAAAAAAAAATTAACAGAATTTATCACCAGGACATCTGCCTGCAAAAGAATAGCTATAGGAATTTCTCTAAACAGGAAGAAAATGATAAAGGAAGGAATCTTGGAACATCTGAGTGGAAGAAAGAACATGGAAAGCAAAAACATGGGCAAATACAATAGGCTTTCCTTCTTATCTTGAGTTTTCTTCATTATGTTTAACTGTTTAAGAAAAATAGTATTATCTATATGATTCTAAAATATGTAAAGGAAATATTTAAGACAATTAAAACAAGACAGGATAAAAAGATGACAACAGTAAACTATGATATATATATATATATATATATATATATATAACTATGATAAGTTATGTATATATGAAGTAATACACAGAGTGACCACTGAAAAAGCTATGAGCAGAGATACATTCCACAGCACTCTTGGTAAATCAAACAGAATTCTTTAAAATGGCCAGTCAAGGCAGGCTGGAAAAGAAAACTGAGAAATAAAATGGCAAACCTGAGTCATACAATATCAATAATTACAATAATGTAAATGGAATAAATACATCAATTAAATGACAAAGATTGGAAGACTGACTTAAAAAGCATGACCTAATCATACACCGTCTACAAGAAACTCACTTCAGTTATAATGATATGGACTGCTGAAAGAATGGAAAAGGATGTATCATACAAACATTAATCAAAGAAAAACAGGGCTGGCTGTATTAATATCAGATAAAATAGACTTCAGAACAAAGAAAATAACCAGAGACAGAAAGGGTCATTACATAACTATTAATACATAAGGGTAAACCCACCAATAAGATATAGGTATCTTGAACGTGTATATGCCAAACAGCTGTAAAATATGTCAAGCAAAAACTAACAGAATTAAAAGGCCAAACAGACAAACTCACCATTACAGCTCGAGATTTTAACATTAAGTAAAATGTTAACAGTATGGTTGGCAGTTTCTTATAAAACTAAACATTTAACTACCATATGACTCAGAAACTGCACTCCTAGACATTCATCTCGGAGAAATGAAGACTTTGAGTCATATAAAACCCTGTATATGAATGTTTATGGCAGTTGTATTGGTATAGCCCAAAATTGGAAACAACCCAGATGTTCTTTAACAGGTAAATTGTTAGACAATCTTTGGTACACTCATAACAAGAAATGCTACTCGGAAATAACAAGGATTAAACTGTCAATACATGCAATAACCTGGAATGTATCTCCAGAGAATTATACTGAGTGAAAAAGTCAATCCGAAAAAATTGCAACTGCAAGATTCCATTTATATAATATTCTTAAAATGACAAAATCATAGAAATGGAGAATAGTGGTTGCCAAAGGCTAAGGAAAATGTGGTGATAGGAAGGAAGTCTGTGCCTATAAAAGGGCAACAGGAGAGATCTTGTGGTGACGGAAGTGTCCTGTATCTGTGTCAACATCAATATCCTAGTTGTGATATTCTGCAACAGTTTTGTAAGTTTTTCCCATTGGAGAAAACTAGGAAAAAGGTGCATGAGAACTCCGTATTTTTTCTTAAAACTATATGAATCTGCAATGATCTCAAAATAGAAAGCTTAACGGAAAAAAAAATACGTGATATTATCAGACAATGACTCTGTACGTTTACTATGCACAGTCCCCAAACTGGAAGAACTAGCAAAGGATTCAAGAAGGAAACAATACCACAAGGAAGGAGCAGCAGATAAGCAGCTGAGCTGTCCATCAATTCTTTTTCTGTGTGGTGATACATGTATTTAGATAACGCAGATAAAACTATAAGGAGATAATGAATTATTCCTTGGTAGATGATGAGAATCCAACTTCATGAGGAGTTTCAGTTAGTGCTGAATTACCTGGATCTCACAGAAATCATTCTGGCAGGAATGCATCATGTTCTCTCAGAGTGTTCAATGTTTGCTGGTTTGCAGCAATGATGATCTCACTCATCATGACTCCATATCAGAATATGGCAGAATCTGTACTAGTTTTATGGGTTTATTTTGTATTTTTAATCTGTGGTTTTTTCTTTTTCCTTGCTTAACAGTGGATGACATATATATAGCATACCATGTGTATGTTTTATATGTTAAGTGTATAGTGCTTAACAACTACAGAAAGGCTTAACAGGAACAGGTGAATAGCCATATTACAGAGTAATTAATGAAGGCAAAATGCCTATGTAGGTTATATAACTAAGTGTCAACTGGTTAAATAATTGTGCCCACTTAAATTAGATTCGGTGTTTATTATAGTGAACGTTAACTTGAGGGCTCAAATTCACAATAAATTTTTCTCACTCAGTTTATAATTATATTCACCTGATAAGGGTTTTCTCCAGAATGAATTAAGATTGAAGGGAAAGACCACACCCCAAAACAGAAAATCTAAAACAGATACATCCTACTAATGTACTTTTAACTTTCCGTATGAGAAAAGTCAAATGAGATAATAGGAAAGGTATCAAATAATTAGAATTCAATCTTGAGCAAATGTCAGCCATTCAGGAACACAGACAAAATAAAGACCAGGAAAAAAAGGTCTCCTAGCCACTGAAATAGCAAACATAAAGCCAAAAAAGATTAACTCTACAGGAGACACCTCATTTGGAATTGACTGACTTGTTTTACATTCACTTCAAGCAGCCTCTATTACCTAATGCCCCAAACTGCAGTAGATCAAAGGTATATACTAAAGTAGGACTGTGAACTACAGGCACAAAGGCAGATGGGGACAGCAGGGGATGAGCTAGAAAGTGGCCGTAATAGCACAGCACATTCTGTGCAGCAGTCAATAGTCAATGATGACCTTGAGTGTTCAAGAAAATTAAGCCATATTCAGCAGACACGATGACCTCTGCCTTCCTAGTTTTTTCCCCAAGCAATCGTCTTGCTTTCAAGATTTCCAAATGTCAGAAAGGAAGCACGGATGTATGGCCTCTGACTGTATGATGCATTTCATGTGTCCTACTTCCTGGCAGAAAAGGCTAAGTGCTGTGGTATAGCACTAGAATTTGGGTAGAATGGAGTCATTTAAAGAAGGTTTCCTTCTTTAGGAATTAAAGGCTTAGGGTCTGTGATTACGAAAACTGAGATAAGAGATGCTGAAGGTTCTGAGAAGGAATAGGCTTTAAGGTAAAATAATAAGTTGCCAATTCAGAGATTAAGTTGAAAATACCTGTAAGCCAACACAGTGGAGATTTGGGGAAGCAGTTCTTATAAGGGCCGAATATGAAAAGAGAAGCTAAGTAAGATAAAGGCTGCCAAGTGTCCACTGACTGATCATCAGCATCTCTGGTGAAACCAACATCATTTCAGGTGGGGGCAAAATCCTAATTACAGTCAGTTGAAGAATGAAGGAAGTAAAACTGTTGACAAAAAGTACTGACAGCTCTTATAAGCAGTTTAGCTGTGAGGGAAAGGAGAGACAGAGGTGGTTAAAGGAGGAAGGCGCAAAGTCAGGAAGCTACCAGTGGAAAGGGAAAAGGAGGGGAACAGACATGATGGGTGAAGTGGGGACTTGAAGCTTTAGAGATGGGGTCCAAAGTAGAAGGCTGGGGTTAGTTTTAAACAACAGAGACCTTCTGAGACAACATGGAAAGGGTTAAGGATGAGGTAAGCAAGTTTGCAGACATGGCATCTTTTCCTTACATCTACTGGTGGTCATCTACTAGGAGTGAGAGAATGGGCTTGAGGAGATGTGTGAAGGTTTAAAATAGCTGATGTGGAGAGAGAGGTGGCCAGGATAAGAAAAATGATTGCTAAGTATTACTGAGTACCCAGCTGGAAGCAGAGACCATACATCTGCAATGATCTCAATCTAAAAGGAGCTCTGTCTGCACAGCAGGCAAGGCAGATGGCTGGGTAGCCAGGGCTGGAGCTGTGCAAAGTGTGTGTAGTTGAAAGAAAAAGAAGGACGAGGTGGAAGGAAAAGCCATGAGTCTTATCTGAAGAGAGAGCAGCTCATTGCCTGAAAAGAAGAAAGGGGCCAGGCATGGTGGATCATGCCTGTAATCCCAGCATTTTGGGAGGCCAAGGTGGGTGGATCACTTGAGGTTAGGAGATCGAGACCAGCCTGGCCAACATGGTGAAACCCCGTCTCTACTAAAAATACAAAAATGAGCCAGGCGTGGTGGCGCACACTTGTAATCCCAGCGACTCAGGAGGCTGAGGCACGAGAATCACTTGAACCTAGGAGGTGGAGGTTGCAGTGAGCTGAGATAATGCCACTGCACTCCAGACTGGGCAACAGAGTGAGACTCTGTCTCAGAAAAAAAGAAGAAAGGGAGGAGATGGACCAGCAGCCTGAAGCTCTTACAGTGAAGACTGGATGGAGTTGGAGTGGTCAGAATGGGATAGGTGACAAAGTCCAGGGAGCAGTCAGGGAAGTGAGTACCTGAAGAGGTGGTAGAAGAGACCTGACTTCATCTTGACTAAAGTCAAGGAACTGTGGAGCGGAGTTGTTGATTGACCTCTGCAAGGACAATGCAGTGACCTAGGATCAGTCAGGAGTTAGAGCAAAGAGCAAGACCATATGATAGATGACCTTGTTGAAAAAGGACTATCCCCAGGGTCATCAGATAACAGCAACGAGGAGCTGGCAGAGGACAGAATATAAGATGACATGTACTTTAAAGGACAAAAAGTTTTGGTACAATGGTCAGGGAGGAATTGAACAGTGGGAACCTTGATGAAATGCTGGTTAGGAGAGGTGGAAGGTTTGGGCAGCAGAAGAGCACACGACCTGTAGAGGAGCGGGAAGAATAAGAAGTAAAGGAGGTGGAACAGGCAGCAAAAGCTAATCATGGGACTCTGCAGTGTGCCTGTAGGAGCCGCGGTTTACCTAAGCCTGAATTAAACGTTGTCGGCACAGCGGAATCCTGACGCTTGTAAATTTAACATTTGCAGCACAGACTCCCAACAATTGCTCCAGGTTCGTGATTGGGTCTTTGATTTTCCTGACCCATTCGTTGGGATCACACACACTGAGGAGGCTGATTTGAGGAAGGCAGTTACTTAGCAGGCCAACTCTTTGTTACTTTCCACTGATATAATAATAATTTATATAAATATAAATAATTATATATAAATTATAAATAATTATATATAAATTGTAAATAATTTATATATAAACTATATATATTATATATATCTATATTATATATAGATATATAGTTCTTCTAAAGTGGAAAACTACTCCCATCCTGGCCCAGGAGGCTCTTGTATCCTCATGAACCCAGGTTCCAGGTGCTGTGGAAGCTGCCTAGGGACAGTGGTGCAGATGCTGTGTGGCAAGCTGTAAGATAGTCAGCACAGCTGCTCAAGTCACTACGACGAAGAACTTTGGAATGAAACCCAATTTGCTTACCTTTTAATCATGTAAACTGGCCCTAATTTAACTTTCCTTTGCATCTTTCAGGGTAAACAGTAACTTAAACCATGTTAAGAAGTCAGCTCAAAAGACTCTGAAACCCAATAGATCCAGGAGGTAAGGATGGGGAAGAATTAAAAATGGACTCTAACTTTATCTTCTAGGCAAACACAGGAAAAATAGAAGATGGGGCATAGGCGTGAATAATTTGTTGGGTTTGGGACGTACTGCATTCAGATGCCTGTAGGCCACCCAGGTGTAGTTAGGTAGCTGAAAAAAAGATCTGTAGTTTGAGTGAAGGATGTGACTAGAAATATAGATGTTACAGTCATCAGAGCATCAGCAGTAAAGTCACAGGCATGGATTGGAATACTTTACAGTTCAAATGACCATGAGAAAGAATATTTTGTTTTTTCAAAAAACCATGCTTTCAAAGTTCTCGAGCATGGAGTCATTACATGCCTCCCTGGACCAACAGCACCTGCACGGCCCGGGAGCTGGTCAGATGCCGATCTCCCTCACCCTCCAAGTCAGGATCTACATTTTAATACACCAGGGGACTCGTGTGCACATTAGTTTGATAAGCCACTGGTGCAATGTTTCCCAAACTTTGGTACTTGAAATGTTCACCAGCTTTCAGTGAATGAGAAAAAGAAAATGACAAACATGTATAATCATATATTTATTCAACTTGAAGAAATGTCCTTTGTTTTGGTGTTACAGGATTCCTTTGTTGACATGTTTACCTGTTCCATCTTTCATGAAATTAAGGTAAAGGGCAATTGGGGTGATTTCCCTAAGAGCAAGTTATTTCATACTTTATTGGAACCAGGTGACTTTGAAATGCTATTTATACACGGGCACGGTGGCTCACGCCTGTAAACCCAGCACTCTGGGAGGCTGAGAAGGGCGGGATCATGAGGTCAGGAGTTTGGAGGCCAGCCTGACCAACATAGTGAAACCCCGCCTCTACTAAAAATACAAAAAAAAAATTAGCTAGGTGTGGTGGCGGGCGCCTGTAGTCCCAGTTACTTGGGAGGCTGAGGCAGGAGAATCGCTTGAACCCGGGAGGTGGAGGTTGCAGTGAGCCGAGATTGTGCCACTGCACTCCAGCCTGGGCAACAGTGAGAGACTCTATCTCAAAGAAAAAAAAAAAAAAAAAAAAGGAAAAGAAATGCTATTTCCTTTACCAAGGATATCTTCTTCACTTCATCTTGCCTTGTCATCCTAAATTTCTCATGAATCGTATTTTGATGAGCAAAGCCTATATTTTAGTTTCTTAGGGCTGCCATCACAAAGAACCACAAACTGGGAAGCTTAAAACAACAGAAGTTTATTGTCTCACAGTTCTGGAGGCCGGGCATTCAAATTCAGAGTGCTGACAGGGTCAAGGTCTCTCTGAAGGCTCAAGGGAAGGATCCCTCCTTGCCTCTCTCTAGCTTCTGGTGGTTGCCAGCCACCCCTTGGCACTCCTTGGCTGGTAGATGCATCCCTCCAATCTTGGCCTCCATCCTCACATCTCTTTCTCTCTGAATGCATTTGTGTCTAAGTTTCCCTCATCTTATAATGACACCAGTCACTGAATTAGGGCTCACCATAATTCAGTACGATGACCTCATCTTAACTTGATTACATCTGCAAAGACCTTATTTCCAAATGCGGTCACATTCACAGGTACTAGGGGTTAGGACTTAAACAGATATTTTGGGGAACACAATTCAACCTGAACAGCCTAAAATGATACATTTTTAAGGAAAATATTCTGATAATTCTCAAAATTATATGGCAAATACTGTAATACTGTGCTGTTTTCAAAATGAAGCACAAAATAAAAACATTAAGAGTATATTTTAATAAAAATGAGCATAGAACCAGCAATTTGAATTGTATTCTTCTGTTTCATTTGTTATTCCCATTGTAGACGGCATAAACTCTAATATATGTAGAGATTTTGTATTAGATTTTTCCTCACTCTCGAACTGCCCCAGCACTTAATTTCAAAAGAAATTCCTGGCATTTTCCCACTACATATACTTTTCAGCTCCTTTCTGAACATCGCTGCTTAGCATCAAAATTACTTTCAGCCAATTTGTAATCTCCCAGGTCTCAGATGGCTGAAGCAGAGTTCCTTGGGAAGTCCCAAGCCATACTAACTGGCCAGGGCTTTAAGAATGTAGTGTATCTAATGGCATTTGGTAGAACTGTTTCATATTCAGACTAAGGGTTTCATCCAAAACCTAAGATTTCAATTTGTTTCACGATATTACATAAAGTACAGTATTCATGTGGTGACTTCAAAGCAACAAAAATGTTCAACACTACTCAGTCTATGGAAGGTGAAATACTGTTTTAATATGTTAAAAAGCATATTAAATGAACACATTAATGAGAGGTAGCTCATAAACAGTACATTTCAGCAGGGCACAGTGGCTCATGCCTGTGATCTCAACATTTTGGGAGGTGGAGGCACGAGGATCACTTGAGCCCAGGAGTTCGGGATGAGACTGAGCAACAGACAGAGACCTCGTCTCTACAAAAAAAATTAAAAAAAAAAAAAAAATTAGCCAGGTGTGGTGGCATGCACCTGTGGTCCCAGCTACTCAGGAGGCTGAAGTGGGAGGATCACTTGAGATGGGGAGATGGAGGTGGCAGTGAGCCGTGATTGTGTCACTGCACTCCAGCATGGGTGACAGAGCGAGGTCCTGTCTCAAAAAAAAAAAAAAAAAAAAAGGGAAACAAAAACCCAGTACATTTCATTCCTCATCTCTCTGTCAAGCTACACAGAGCCTCCTTTTACAGAAGAGCAAATAAGCACAGAGTACAAAGGAGTTTAAAGGTTAGGCAAACATTCCTTCACCAGCTCAGAGGCAAATGTCCAGAAGAGAGCCTGACTGTTTCACTTTTAAGGAACAATGCTGTATAAATATGGCCACTGATACGTCAAAGTGACAGCCTAGGACTTGGTTCTAGGTGACTTTTACTTCAGCTTGGCAAACTTCAACTGTCCTGCTTGCTCCTTCTAAAACTCATTTTCTTTTTTTGAGACAGAGTCTCACTCTGTTGCCCAGGATGGAGTGCAGTGGCACAATCTTGGCTCACTGTAAACTTCACCTCCTGGGTTCAAGCAATTCTCATGCCTCAGCCTCCCAAGTAGCCGGGACTACAAGCGTACCACCATGCCCAGGTAATTTTTTGTATTTTTAATAGGGCTGGGGTTTCGCCATGTTGGCCAGGCTGGTATTGAACTCCTGAGCTCAAGTGATCCGCCCAACTCGGCCTTCCAAAGTGCTGGGATTACAGGCGTGAGCCATCACCTCTGGCCTCATTTTCTATTTATTAGTTTCTACTAGTTTTCGATTAATTTCCTCTATTAGAAGAAAAGATTCAATTCAGAGTTGCAAAGTAAAAACATACTTGGAAGTTACCATGAAATAAGAATACTAATGGTCAAAGCCTTATGATCAGAATGTAATCAATCTGTGAAGCTCAAAAGTTCAGTTAACTGTGTCTGAAGTGGAGATGCCAAAGATAAGCTCTATTTTATCAGTTGTTATCATGCGTATACGAAAAATGAAACATAAAAGCTCTATCTCCTGAACTCTTCCAATCCTTTCTTACTGATTCATGACCCCCACTTGCTTTTCTTATTTGGACATTCCACCCTTCCCCTAGTGCTCCGTGCTCCTTACTCAGGTTAAAGAAACTAAGCCTGGGCTAAAGAGCACTTGAAAATAAAGAAGTGCAAAGATGTAACCAAAAATTGCTAAAGACCATGTTTTCCTTACAACATTTCTGACTGTGGTTCTCTACAGGAAGAACCAGACCACTGCCATTTGCAGAAACATTTGCAAACACTTGTCCTGATGAAGGCATCGACTTACTGGAGGATTTCCTACGCCTTCTAGGAACAGATGTCATGCCCCTTTGTCACCAAGAACAGGGCAGTACCAGTCACAGGAGTCACTCACTGAAGGTGGACCAAATGCACTGTGACCCCAGCATGGAAGCCCTTCCAAAAGTTCCCATTTTTTCTTACAAGACAAACTGACGCCTTCCTCAAGACCCTCTCCTCTCTGCCTCCTCATCCACCTCTCCAGCGTGGTACTCAAAACACACCCTTCTTGAGTTACCCTTCCCACAGGCCTGAGATGTTCTGCGTGCTGCCTGGTTAATGCCTCCCTGACACCCCTGTCTGGGTCATCTTTCTTTCTAACACACTTTCACGGACCACACTCCTTCAGAACTCTTGCCTGGTTTTTAATTATTCACTCATTAGTATCACAATTGGATTAATACTGCATTCCCTCAATAGACTACGCTCCATGAGACCAGAGCCGTGTCTGCTGTGTTTCTGCAGGATGTACAGCCCTCCCAGCACGGTGCTCGCTTCCCTAATGCCATTCCACAGTATTTGTTGCAGAGAAGGAAGCAGCATGCCAGGACAGATGGAGACAGGACTAATTTGGCTTGAGGTATGTAATTTTGAACTTGAGCCTCTCTCTGGGACTGTAAAACTCCAAATCAAAGTCTTAATCTGAGAATACATACATCTGAAAGAGTGATTAGGGACTGGTAAACATCTATTAATATTCAACTCTGATACAAAGTACAAGTTGTTTATTCTTACCACGCAAGGCCAAAAAAGGGGAGAAAAAAAAAAAAGCACACAGCATATGCACTGGGAAAGCTTTCGCTTATTCAAAACAGTATTTGTCAAGCACCTCCAGGTCTGGGTGCTGCAGGGGAAACAAAGATTAAACAGCCAGGGCTTTGCTTCCAAGGTGCTTACGGTCTTAAGAAGGAGACAAGACATGTTTATAAATAGCCAAAATGCAACCCAGAAAAGGCTAAAAAACACTGAGAGGGAGGGAGAAATAAACGAAGCAAGAGGTCTCCGGAGGAAGAGATGAATGAATTAGCCTATTAATAACTCCTCACTGTAATCCCAATGTAAAGCAAGGAATTCCAAACCAGGAAAGGTCAAACTGAAGTATTTGAGGAACACAGGCGTCGCCCTAAGCCCTTCACAGGCTCGCTGGGGATAATATCGCAGCTGAAACCGAACATCAAGCTGGCTTTTCAAACCTTCAGTTATTTACATTAGACTGAGAGGGGAAAAGCGCTAAGAGTGCAAGAGCAGAGAAAGAGCAAGAGGAAACTTGAAAAGGCGGATCACGCCAATGCGCTGTGCACAGCGCCCCCGCGCCCCGCGCACCCGCTACCCCACCCGAGCCCCCAGCGGCCCGCGTCCCCCATCCCGGTCCCAAGCCCAGACACCTCCGAGATCCGTCCCCCGGCTCCGGCCGGCGCCACCGCCACCCTCAAGACCCCCGCAGCCCAGGCCCGGCCCCGCGCCACCGACGCCCCCCGCGGCCCGACCCGCGCGCCCCGCCAGCCCGGGCCTCGTACCGTAGGTTTCGGACATGGCCGTCTGCGACATCTTGGGAGCGGCGCCGCCTCTCGCCGGGTCACCGGCTGCACTCGCCCGCGGTCCGCCGGCGCGTCTCGGTGGGGAAGGACCTGGGGCGGGGGACCGGAGGAGGGAGGGGCCCGACCGGTCCCCACGGCAACCGCCGGTCTCCCAGCGGCTGCGGCCCAGCCGGACTCCAGCTCCGCGCAGGCGCAGGGCCCTCCACCCTCCGTCCGGCCGCGACCGCGAGGAGGAAGAGGAGATGGGCTACGCGAGGCCCGGCCCACCCCGCGTTCGCGCGTGCGCACGGGGAGGCCGGGGCGGGGCGCGTGAGGACTTCGGCGCGCGCCGGAAGCACGTGCGCGGGCTGGGCGCTCTGGCGGTGTGCGCTGAGGTGGGCAGAGCGGCAGGTGGGGGCGTTGGGGGCTGAGTCCCGATTTCCCTGAGGGAGGGTCGGGTAGAGGCGGGCGGTGGGCAGGTTTGGGGGTGACAGAGGGCTGGGGACAGTGGGGTCCAGTTGCCGGACAGAGGAGGAAGGTGCCCGCACTGGGGAGGAAAGCAGTCCATTTGCCAAATTGGCCCGTCTCAGTTAAGACGTTGTCTTCGGTCATCATCTGCGGCTGTCAGCCAGGAAAAAACTTCCCTGACGCTGTTACGATGGAGGCCAGAACTTGGTTAATGTGTAACAAGGAGGCAGTAGGCCCCAGGTGTCCAGCCAGAGGCCGCCCTGTGAATGGGAGGCAGGTTCATTTACCCGTTGGGAAGCTAAGCTTTCACTCCAAACTGCCGGGCCCTCTTGGATGGAGCTGAGCGGGTGTGGGCGGAATGACAGAAGCGCAAGATGCCCAGGTGCTAAAAGGTCATCGCAAGACTACAGGCTGCAGCCTCTCCACATCCCATTTTAGAGGGTTCTGGATTACGGTTGAGAAGTATCTCCCGGCCCTCAGCTGGGGATGTGTTTCCAAATTTAGGAGTTTTTTTAATTTTTATTTTTTAACAGGGTCTGGCACTGTCAGCCCAGCCCAACCGATTCTCCTGCCTCAGCCTCCTGAGTAGCTGGGGCTAGGGGCTCACACGACCACACCGCGCCAATTTTTAAATTTTTTGTAGAGATGGGGTCTTGTTATGTTGCCCAGGCTGGTCTTGAACTCCTGAGTTCAAGCATCCTCCCTCCTTGGCCTCCCAAATTGCTGGGATTACAGGCATGAGTCATCTCACCTGGCCTTGGATAGTTTGGTTTCAGAAGCAAAACTGAGTTAGAATCCCCTTCTGTGGGAAATGTAGAGATAAACATTTATGGGAAAGAGAATTTTGGTTGAGGATTTGGCCCATCTGAGCTTGATCAGGGCCACATAGCGCCTCATAGTTCCCAACCTTGTTCACAATAGGTAGTCGAATGCTCAAAATATCCTTGGCTAAGCTCCCAAGTGACCTGGACTGTGTGGAAAATGCCAGTACATACTTTTGTGTGTGTGTGTGTGAGTCAGTTTGGCTCCATCCTCCACATAAATTGGCATCAGAGCTTCCCTCTTCCCCAGTGGCTATTTGGGTCGGTATTTTTCTCTTGTCTCCGATCCTAATAACAAATAAATGCAGTTTTTTCTAAATCACAGAGAAGGCCCCATGGTGAAAAGTTGTGACAGCTGTAATTCCTAAAACTGTTTTATATATATTTCTTGTTCAGTGGCTCAGATCATTTGTTGCTTTCTTGTTTGTCTCTCTGCATGTCGTGTTTGATTTAGGCTCCTGAGTATAACAGATTGGTTCTGATTAAAACCATTTCAGAGGAAAGACAGTGATCCCAGGAAGCGGGAAGAAAACAGCATCACCTGAAGTTATTCCTATTCGTTAGATTTGTTTTCTTCCTGCGAAAAACTGCTATGTACAAGAAAGAAGTCAGTGAGCTGCAGTGATAGTTAGCATTATTGACTGAAACTGGACCAGAGATCCCTGAAACCTGGACAAGGTGGTAGAAATACAAATTATGCTGCCATTTCAAAGCTGTGGGCAGTTTTCTACTTTGTGGAAAATGAAGACTTAGGTAGGCCTTTGGGAAAGACGATTTGTTTTGGAAAAACCACCCAAAGGGATCATTTGGTTTGCAAATGTAACTGCAGTATCACAACTGGAAGAAGAAATATACAAGGGCGAGGTTTGAAGGAGCCCTTCAGTATCCTTGGATGATACTGTGGAAGATTCTTTGCATCTCAGTAACTTTGGATCTTTGAAGATCCAAGAAAATAAATTTCTTCAAAATATTTTTAGAGACTGCTTTGATTCTGAGGCACTGCTGATTATATGGAAGAAAAAAATATTGGAAGATTAATTTGTGGTTTTCTCCAGTTATCGTCTCCCTTCTCTTTGGGGGAGGTTTGTGACGCAGTAAAAACAGATATACAAAAGCCTAGGCATGTTAGAGATTTGCCTAAGGGAAATGTAATTATGAAGAAGGATTTTTTCAAGCTGAAACTAGATCCCACTTTTTTCCAGGTCAGTGGGTCCTTCAAGTATCTGGTACTTTCCTTCCTGCTTCCTGACAATGTTAAAGAATGTGGCATGACCTTACATTTAATGCCCAACGTGAGGAGCCCTGGGGCTTGATGCATGAGATTCTTGGAGCTAGGCCTGGTGGAGGGCACTGGTCACAGCCTCGGTGGAATGGTGACTTTCTTTGGTAACTGGAATTGAAGAAAATGAGTGGACTTGTGTCTGAGCACTTGGGAACTCAGCAATCCCTGGGTGTTACCTTGAGAAGGAGCCAAATTCCAGACATACAAGTGGAGACTTGAAAATGGAAGCTCAATTCCACACCCAGGCTGGTGGAGACTATGACATATAACTCACATCTTCAAGAAAGTAGACACCTCAGAGGTCACTGGGCCACTTTACCTTCCACTGTCAAAACTATGTCCATGATCAGATACCTCTGTTGCTAGGGAATATTCAGTCAGAATGGGCTAGATTAACTGCAGTAATGCAGATCTCTCAACCCATTTATGACTTACGCAGCAAAGTTCCTCGCTCAGACTACCTGTCCACTCCCACGAGCAGAGACTTGCTCATGGGCCCTCCTAGACCCAGGCTGACCGAGTGTGTTTTATCTAAATGCATCTCCACAATCACTCAGGTAGGAGTGGCTATGCATTAGGACTGATTGTGCATTAGTTAGAGAAGCACTTACCAGGAATTGCTATAAGAACTTCTATTTACATTTCATGGGCCAAAGCAAGTCATGTGGCAACACTTAATTTCAAAGAGGACAGGAAATGCAATATTGTTATGTCCCTGAAAGAAAGGAGAAGAGAAAGTCTATGGAAAGACATTATGACTACCACTGGAATTTTCACCTGTCCAGGCAGCTCATCGTGCTTTTATTTGAAACAATTTTATTGAAGTATAGGCATAACTGCACATACGTATGTATTTATTTTATTTTATTTTTTGAGATGTAGTCTTGCTTTGTTGCACAGGCTGGAATGCAGTGGCGTGATCTCAGCTCACTATGACCTCTGCCTCCCGGGTTCAAGTGATTCTCCTGCCTCAGACTTCTGAGTAGCTGGGATTACAGCCACGCGCCACCACACCTGGCTAATTTTTGTATTTTTAGTAGAGACGGGGTTTCGCCTTGTTGGCTGTGCTGGTCTCAAACTCCTGACCTCAGGTAATCCGCCTGCCTCAGCCTCCCAAAGTGCTGGGCAGCCTCCCAAAGTGCTGGGATTACAGGCGTGAGCCACCGCACCTGGCCTGCACATATTTAAAGTGTACATTTTGACAATTTTTAATATATATGTACGCTTGTGCTTGCTGCTCCAGGGGACCGCTATTTCTAGGCCTTTTCAGTGGACAGAGGCATTTTTGTGATTGTTTTATCTCATTTGTCACTTAGGAAGAATAACTTCTTGTGAGGTTTAGTGGTGGTTTTGGGGTTGATAGTATAGGTCTTCATCACAGTCCACCTCCAAGTGATAATACACTACTTTATACAGAGTATAAGAAACTGACAACCATTTGCTTCCATCCTCCCCCAGCATCTGTGCTGGGGATGTTGTACTTCTACATATGTTGTACACCCACATACATTGTTATTGTTTTTACTTAATAAGCTACTAATTCTCTGTCTCTCTTTTCCTTTTAATTGTGGTAAAATAGACATAAAATGTAGCAACTCAGCCATCTTGAAATGTACAGTGGCATTAAATATATTCCCATTGTTGTGCAACCATCACCACCATCCATCTCTAGAACGCTTCATGTTGCAAACCTGAAACTCTGTACCTGTTTAACAACAACTCCCCATTCACTTCTCCCCACAGTGCCTGGCAACCACCATTTTACTTCCTGTCTAGGAATTGGCTTCTCTAGGTACAGTACCTCATATAAATGGAGTCATACAGTATTTGTCTTTTCCTCACTGTCGTATTTCACTTAGCATAATGTCCTCAAGATTCATCTGTAACATTGTAGAATGTGTCAGAATTTCCTTCCTGTTTAAGACTGAATACTATTCAATACTTTGTACATATATACTGCATTTTCAGCCAATTCTTTTCAATAGATTTAAACAATAAGAAAAAAGTGTTTTATATTTACTCACATAGTTACCATATCTAAGACTCCTTATTCTCTTGTATAGATTAGATTTCCATGGTCTCATTTCCCTTTTGTCTGAAGGGCTTTCCTTGACAGATCTTGAAGTGTAGATCTCCTGGTGACTAATTCTTTCAGCTTTTATATGTCCAAAAAAGTCTTTATTTCACTTCTGTGTTTGAAGCTATTTTTGCTCAATTTCGATTTTTAGGGTTTTCAATTTTTTTTTTCTAACATGAAGATACTGTTTCAGTGTTTTCTGGCTCATTTTGTTTCCGATAAGGAGTGAACTGCCATTCTTATCTTTATTTCTTTTATGCAACGTGTCTTTTATCTCTGCTTGGTTTTAAGATTTCATCTGTATCACTAGTCTGAAGCAATTTGATTATGATGTGCCTTGGTGTTGATTTTCTTTAAAGTTCTTGTCCTTGAGTTTCACTGAACTTCTCTGGTCTTTGAGTTTATAGTTGCTATCAGATTTGGAGTTTTTTCAGCCATTATTTCTTCAAATATTTTTTTCTGCCCCTGCCTCTCCTTTCCTTTGGCGATTCTACTACACAAATATTAGATCACTTGAATTTGTTTCACAGCTAACTCAGGCTTTGTTCATTTTTTGTCAGTCTTTTTTCTTTCTGTTTTTCATTTTCGTGTAATTTCCATTGCTGTGTCTTTAAATTCACTCATCTTTCCTATAGTATCTAATCTGCTGTCAATTCCATCCAGCGTATTTTTCGTCTCAGGCATTGCCATTTCACCTGCAGAAGTTTCACTCGGTGTCTGGACCTGCATCTGGGTCCTCTGGTTTCCGTGTTTAGTGCTCAAGCATATGGAACATGTGTCATTTCTACTAACTTTATCACCTAAGTAATTTCTGAGATTGTTTATATTGATTGGCTTTTCTCTTCATTGTAGGTAATATTTTCCTACTTTACAAGCCAGATAATTTTTTATTGAATGCCAGACATTGAGAAGTTTACTTTGAGATACATATAATGTTTATTTTTATGAATATTTTTGAGCTTTGTTCTGGGGTGCAGGTAAGTTCCTTGGAAAGAGCTTGATGCTTCAGGTCATGTTTTTACACTTTTTTTAGGGGGTGGGCCCTGAGCAGCATTCTACTCAACAAATCCTTGAGTTGTGAAGGTTTTCACCATGATTGGCGGAATTCGGAGTTCCTCTGGGCCGTGCGTGAGTGCTGGGGATTGTTTTCTCTAATATTCGCTGGTGATTCTTTATCTGGCATGGGGTAGGAGTGCCTACCACAGTAGGAATTTGAAATGCAGGTATTTCTTCACTTGCCTGCACTGCTCAGTAAAGACTTGAAGGGAACCCTCTGCAAACCTCTGGCACTCTCTCTCTCTCTGTACAGCTCTGCACAACCCCCAGCTCAGGGAGTGCTGCTTCTTCCTCCTGTCTGACTCCAGAGCTCAGTCTGTGGCAGTCTTTCTCTGCAGTCACTTACTTGCTCATTCATTTCATCTGGTCTTAAGGCTTTCAATATGATCTAAAGCTGATGATTCCTTAATTTCTAGCTTGCCTAGGCTTCTATGTACAATTGCTTACTTGATACGTCCACTTGAATGAATGCCTATTAGGTTTCTTAATACTAACGAAATAAAAACCAAGGCCGGGCACGGTGGCTCACGGCTGTAATCCCAGCACTTTGGGAGGCCAAGGCGGGTGAATCACAAGATCAGGAGTTCAAGACCAGGCTGGACAATATGGTGAAACCCTGTCTCTACTAAAAAATACAAAAAATTAGCCAGGCATGGTGGCGCGCACATGTAGTCTCATCTACTCAGGAGGCCGAGGCAGGAGAATCGCTGGAACCTGGGAGGCAGAGGTTGCAGTGAGCCGAGATCATGCCACTGCACTCCAGCCCGGGCGACAGAGCAGATTCCGTCTCAAAATAAACAAACAAACAAACAAACCAAACATCCAGATTTCTTGACCAAACCAGTGCCTTCTGCAATCTTTTGTATCTCAGTAAATGGCAGTTTGCCAGGTGTATTAGTCAGGGTCGGGGTTCTCTAGAGGGACAGAACTAATAGGATACATGTATATATGAAAGGGAGTTTATTGAGGAGAATTGACTCACACGATCACAAGCTAAAGTCCCATGATTGGCTGTCTGCAAGCTGAGGTGCAAGGAAGCCAGTGGTGGATCAGTCCAAGTCCCAAAACCTCAAAAATAGGGAAGCCGACAGTGTAGCCTTCCATCTGTGGGCAAAGGCCCAAGAGGCCCTGGCAAACCACTGGTGTAAGTCTAAGAGTCCGAAAGCTGAAGAACTGGGAGGCTGATGTTCAAGGGCAGGAAGCATCCAGTACGGCAGAAAGATGAAGGCCAGAAGACTCAGCAAGTCTGCTTTATTCTAGCCGCTCTGGTAGCCGATTAGATGGGGCCCACCCAGATTGAGGGTGGGTCAGCCTCTTCCGGTCCACTGACTCAAATGTTAATCTCCTTTGGGAACACCCTCACGACACACCTAGGAACAATACTGTGAATCCTTCAATCAAGTTGACACTTAATATTAAACATCACACCAGGGCCAAACCTTGGGAGTCCTGCCTGACTTCTCACACCCACATTTGATCCATCAGCAAGTCCTACAGGCTCTACTGTCAAGAGCATCCAGAATCTGCTTTTGCTACTCCCACTGCCTCACCCCCGAATCCTGGCCACCTCCTGGACCAGCCCGCCTCACCTCTCTCCTGCCTTTTGCAGCTACCTCCCCTTCCTGCTTCTATGCTTGTCTCCCTGTGTTGTCTTTTCTCAACACAGCTGCTAGAGCAATCCTATTAAAATGTAAACAAACAAAACCAAAAATAAATGACAATTCTCCTTTAAAACAGCCAGTGTTGCCTGTAATCCTAGGACTTTGGGAGGCCAAGGTGGGTGGATCATTTGAGGTCAGGAGTTCGAGACCAGCCTGGCCAACATGGTGTAACCCCCCAACCTCTACTAAAAATACAAAAATTAGCCGGGCGTGGTGGGGGCGCCTGTAGTTCCAGCTACCTGGGAGGCTAAGGCAGGAGAATCGCTTGAACCCGGGAGACAGAGTTTGCAGGGACCCGAGATCATGTCACTGCACTCCAGCCTGTGCGACAGAGCGAGACTCTATCTCAAACAAAACAAAACAAAACAGCAACAAAAAAACAGCCAGTGTTGGGGGGAGGAGGGGACTATAGGTCCCATCAGGCCACCCTCTGCTCAAAGCCTCATCTCACTCACAATGGCCTATAAAGTCATCCATGGTCTGCTCCCCCAACCCCTCATTCTCTTGACTCTGATCCTACAGGCCTTCTTGCTGGTTCTTATACACATCAAGCAGCCTTTGGCCTCAGGGCCTTTGCATGTGCTTTTTTCCTCTTCCTGGAATGCTCTTGTCCCAGATGTCTACATGGCCCTCACAGCCCACATGTGTTCTGCTCACAGGGCACCTCATGAGGAGGGCTTTTCTTTTCTTATATGAAATAGCAACCCCTCTCCATTTCATCCCCCCAGCACTTCATTTGCCCCCTATTTTGTTCTATGCCCCACTCCATAGCATTTAACATCACTTAAAATACATATCCTTTATTAGTTTATTGTGTGCTCCCTCTCTAGATTATAAGTTCTATAAGGGCAGGAAATGCTTTGGCCTTGTTCCCTGCTCCATCCCCATGCCTAAAATAGTATTTGGCACATAGTAAACCCTCAATCACTCGGAAGATGTTGAATGAGTGAATGAATGGAACAAAACTCAGCAGCTCTCTATGGATTTAATGTAATGAACTTAATTGTAAATATGTTGATTTATGGGAAATTTAAAAGTGGGGGTCTCTGGCCGGGCTCTGTGCTCAGACCTATAATCCCAGCACTTTGGGAGGCCGAGGCAGGCGGATCACTTGAGGTCAGGAATTTGAGACCAGCCTGGTCAACATAGTAAAACCCTGTCTCTATTAAAACTACAAAAATTAGCTGGATGTGGTGGTGCATGCCTGCAATCCCAGCTATTTGGGAGGCTGAGGCAGGAGAATCTTTTGACCCCGGAGGTAGAGGCTGCAGTGAGCCAAGACCACACCACTGTACTCCAGCCTGGGTGACAGAGAGAGATTCCATCTCAAAAAAAAAAAAAAAATAGTGGATCTCTTATATGCTACCAAGTGATTGTGGGAAGGCTATAATAAAACTAAAGTATCGTCTAATACTAGTATAATTTATTGAGTACTTGATAAACACTAGGTATAGTGCTAAGTGCTTTACATGTATTAGAAAACCTAATTCTTACAACAGGTTTATAAGGGAGGTATTATCCCATTTTACAGATGAAGAAACAAAGGCCCAAATGGATTACATATTTTGTCCAGTTTCCACAGCTAGTATGTATCAATGTTGGAATTGCTATCTCAAACCAAACCAAACTGACACCTCTCCTTTTAAAAATGCAATATAAAAAGCCCAAAACACAGAGCTATGATTTCAAAAGGCATTGAATTATTTAATGCCTAAGGAAAACAGCGCTCTGTTGAGCCAGGCCCTGTTCTGGGTGCTTTATGTCACTTCCCTTGATCCTTACACCACCTGACAAGGTTGCTCTTCTTATCTTTATATTATAGTCAAGGGTGACATCCAAACCAGGGCTCTTTATTGCACTGTGATGCCAAATAAGTATGGAGACACAGATGAGAAAGGGTTTGTGGTAGAAAACATTCCCAGAGCACTTCTATAAATTCAGCATAAGCTCAGGTTAGCTTTAAGATAGAAAATAGTCCTGAAGTTATCATCCAGTTCTCTAATATGAAACTCAAATCTTTGAGTCTGTCATCCTCCAAAGCACAGAGATTTTGTTTATCTAACAGGAATATGCTGCAAATAACAGTCTACAACATTAAGCCAAGGCTAGAGTTGTGGATAGAGTTCTTGAGTTCAGTGATACGATAATTTCCTACCTTCATCTTCTCATTTGAAAGTTACCAGCAAATCTTCCATCAGTTCTAATGTGATGCATCTCTGCTTATTTCTGCATTTAACAGCATTGATACCCAGGGATTATTCATTCGAGTCATTTAAATTCTTGTTTTGTATTCAGAAAAAGAGGATTTTCTGGTTCCTCTTTTCTTTTTAATTATATTTATGTGTTTCCTCCATATTCTGATAAAAGTACCATAGAATTATCTTTTATTTACTTATTTATTTTCGATACTGTGTTTCAAATTAAATGGCCTGTTTTCAGCCTGGTTTCTTATTTAAAAGATAGTTTTCACAAGAACTGCTTAAAAAAAAATTCTCCGTGGCTCACGCCTGTAATCCCAGCACTTTGAGAGGCCGAGGCAGGCAGATCACGAGGTCAGGAGTTCGAGACCAGCCTGGCTAACATAGTGAAACCCCGTCTCTACTAAAACTACAAAAATTAGCTGGGCATGGTGGCAGATGCCTATGATCCCAGCTACTTGGGAGGCTGAGGCAGGGGAATTGCTTGAACCCAGGAGGCAGAGGTTGCGATGAGCCAAGATTGCGCCACTGCACTCCAGCCTGAGGAACAGAGTGAGACACCGTCTCAAAAATAAAATAAAATAAAATAAAATAATCCCTGAACACCACCAACTGAAATTTTCTTTTATGGTTAATTTTAACATTTTAATCAGCTTTACTGGGGTATAATTTTACATACAACAAAATTCACCAATTTTAAGTGTACAATGAGTTTTGACAAATGTACACGGTCATGCGACAACTTCAACCTCGTCCCAGTATGGAACTTTTCTGTCACCCCCAAGAGTTCCTTTATGCCTTTTTCCAGCCCTTTGTGGACTCATTTTGAGACGTTTTGGTAACGGATTATTGGCTTTCACATGGGAAGATGTAACCTACTCCAGGAAACTAAGGTGGGGGTTTCCCCACTGCACAGACCACCCACCATACGCTCCACCTCTAGACCTCTCAGCAGCCTGTCTTTCTTGCCCTTTCAAACATCTTCATTTGTGTTCCACCAGACAGTAGCCAATACCATTTCCATCTATCAGCTTGGTGAAATGTGCCCTTTAATGGAAGACTAATGAGGCCTAATAGAAAAAGCTTCCTGGCTTTATTGATGTTCCCTGTGACTTTACAGGAGAGAGAGAGATTTAGGTCAGAGTCATTAGACTTTCTCTTCCTTTCCCTGAAATTGTGTGGACTAGCAGCCAGGTCAGCAGGCATGCAATCAAACTCTGGTGTCGCACCATGTCACCTTCCTGGATTAGATGACTGGGGCCGCTGTAACAAAGTACCACAGACCAAGTGGCTTGGACAACAGAAATTTATTGTCTCACAGTTCTGGAGGCCGGAAGTCCAAGGTCAAGGTGTCAGCAGGGTTGCTACCCTCTGAATGCTGAGGGAAATTCTGTTCCAGGCCTGTCTCCTGGCTTCTGGTGCCTTACTGGCCATTTTTGGTGTTCCCAGCAAGTGTTGCTCCTATCTCTGCTTTCATTTTTTGTTTTAATTATTTCTCTTTTTTGAAATGGAGTCTTGCTCTGTTACCCAAGCTGGAGTGCAGTGGCACGATCTCAGCTCACTGTGATCTCCGTCTCCCGGGTTTAAGTGATTCTCCCGCCTCAGCCTCCTGAGTAGCTGGGATTACAGGAGCGTACCACCATGCCAGGCTAATTTTTGTATTTTTAGTAGATGTGGGGTTTCACCATGTTGGCCAGGCTGGTCTCGAACTCCTGATCTCAGGTGATCCACCACCCCCCCTCCCCACCCAACTCGGCCTCCCAAAGTGCTGGGATTACAGGCATGAGTGCTGCGCCCGGCCGACCCCAGGTATTTCTAATGCAGGTGGTCCCACATTTGGAGAAATCCTGCTGGGGGTTGAGGAATGGTTTTGTTCCTAAAGGCACTGCCACTTGTGGAAAATGGAACAGAGAACAGCAGAGATTGAATACAGCATTAAATGCAGTGAGTGAGAAAATCCTTATGTCTGAGCAGTGAGGACATGTTGCTCGGAGATATTTCTCAGTTAGAAATATCTATGGGTTAGAAACATACTATGGGCTAAATGAGAGCTGGTAGAAAAAGGGTGGTTGTCAACTTCCCCTGTTCTTTCCCGAGTCTCACTCTCCCTCCTGCATTCTCTCTCCTTTCTTTCTTTCTTTTCTTTTTTTTTTTTTTTTGCGATGGAGTCTTGCTCTGTTGCCCAGGCTGGAGTGCAGTGGTGCGATCTCGGCTCACTGCAACCTCTGTCTCCTGGCTTCAAGCAATTCTCCTACCTCAGCCTCCCGAGTAGCTGGGATTACAGGCACCCACCACCACGCCCAGCTAATTTTTGCATTTTTAGTAGAGACAGGGTTTCACCACGTTGGCCAGGCTGGTCTCGAACTCCTGACCTCAGGCGATCCTCCCATCTCAGCCTCCCAAAGTGCTGGGATTACAGGCGTGAGCCACTGCACCCGGCCCTCTCCCTCCTTTCTTAGGGAGGAGCTCGACTCAGAACTTTTCCTCGATCCTCTCTGTTGAGATGGTTGATTTCCTCCTTAAAACATTATCTGTTCAGTTTCTTTTAAAAATTTACTCCCCCTGCCCCCATTCTGTAGGAATTGTTGGGTATTGGCTGGGCAAGGAGTTTGGAGCTCTCTGAGCTGATAATGTAAAATCTTTGAGGGGAGAGACTTGAGCTTTCTTTTTTTTTTTTTCTCCTGTAGCATCTGTCCCAGTGTCAGGCACATTTTAGGTGCCCAACAAACATCTGTGGAATGAATGAATGAGTGCTGGCACCACCTATAAGCACACAGTAAGGATAACCATGGAGAGAATATGCCGAGCCTTTTAATCAGCCCAGAAGAGCGCCTTCTGTGTTAAGGCGAAATGCCAGAATCCCAAGGAACAGATTCACCACCCAGGGGCGGGACTCAGGGACTGCTGATACTGAGGCTGCCCTGTGGGTTTTCCTTCCAGATCCCTTCTTGATTTGCCCAAAAGAATTTCACGTTTTGTTTCAGTTAAGGAGAGGCCTTTCCTTACTGCTGACTTTAAGGAAACTGGAAATTGTGCTTGTGGGGGAAGTGGCTTTGGAACTTGGGGCCTCTTTGGGACCTGGTAGGCAATGGGGTTTGGGGGCAAGTTTGTGGGACATGTGTCTGAACAGGAAGGAAGGGAGGAGCAGTGGGGCCAGCCAGGAAGCAGTGCCGAATGCAGATTTCTCTTCTTGTGCAGCTTTGCTTAGAGTTGAACATTACTTCCCAGAGATAGATTGACCCCAATCCTGCAGAGATTGGCTATCCTGCTCTTCAACTTATTTTTAGATATATGGTCTCACTTGAATCTCACATCCAATGAGGAGTTCCTGACCCCTCAATTTAGCTCCACCTGGCATTCCAGAGCAATTCAAGGACCTGGTAGGGCTACTAGCAATCCACTGCTACATATAGGGGAACAATGAGTTTTAAAGCTGCTCAGAAATCTGTGATTCGAGTATCAGGAAATCCTTGACTCTTTATCAAATGTGAAGTTGCTGATTTAAGAAATAAAGTTAAGAAACAATATTCATTAACAGAATGGAATTTAATGCAACCGCTGGTGTTTTGGGGTTATTTTCTGGTCACATAGTGCCCCCTGGTGGGTTCACTGACATACTCTTCTGGAATGCTCCTTTCCCAGGCTGTGCTTTGTGACAAGGCCAGCACCAGCAGGGTGATTCCAAGAATTTGCAGTTTAGGCACAGTCCAACGATGCTCTAAAGATTGTCTGTTAAGGGAAAATATGAGTTATGAAAATGCTGTGGGTTGTACTGTATCCCCCACCAAAAGATACGTTAAAGTCCTAAGCCCCAATACCTGTGAATGCAGACTTATTTGGAAAAAGGGTCTTTGCAGATGTAACTATGAAACTAAGGTGAGGTCATTAGGGCAAGCCCTTAATCCAGTATGACTGTGTTCTTATAAGAGGAGGAGAGGCTGGGTGCAGTGGCTCACACCTGTAATCCCAGCGATTTGGGAGGCTGAGGCGGGAGGATCGCTTGAGCCCAGGATTTGCTGGGCAACATATCGAGACCCCATCTCTACTAAAAATTTAAAAATTAGCCAGACATGGTGGCACGCAGCTGTAGTCTCACCTACTTGGAAGGCTAGTGGGAGGATGGCTTGAGCCCAGGAGTCCGAGGCTGCAGTGAGCTATGATCATATCAATGCACTCCAGTCTGGGCAACAAGGGAGACCCTGACTCAAAAAAACAAAACAAAAACAAAACAAAACAAAACAAAAAAAGAGGAGGAGAGAGACACACAAGGAGAGAATGCCATGTGACAATGGAGACAGACACTGGACTGATGCACCTGCAGACCGAGGAATGCGCAAGGATTGCCAGCAGCCCCCAGAAGCCAGGAGCGGGACATGGAATAGAGTCTCTCTCAACCCCTCAGAAAGTTCTAATCCTGCTGATGCCTTGATTTTGGACTTCAGCGTCCAGAACTGTGAGATGAGATATGTTTGTTGCTTAAGCCTCCCGGTTTATGCTGCTTTGTGATGGCAGCCCAAGCAGACGAATACAGAAAGAAATGGGGATTTGAGTTGGAAGAACTGCTTTGAGTCCCAGCTACCACTTAGTACCTGAATGACCTTGGGCAAAGAAGTTCAATTTTTCTGAGCCTCAGTTTTATAAACTGCAAAATGGAGAAATACAAAAGTAACTGTTCTCCTGCCTCAGGATCCCTGTGAGGATGAAGTGTGACTATGTGTATAAAAATATTTTGTTTATTGTACAGCACTGTGTACTGCAATCTTATTACACAAAGAAAGGAAGGTGGGAGGTAGTAGAGCGGAGTGATTACAAGCTAGGCTCTGGCTGGGCACAGTGGCTCATGCCTGTAATCTCAGCACTTTGGGAGGCTGAGGTGGGTGGATCACCTGAGGTCAGGAGTTTGACCTGGCCAACATGGTGAAATCCCATCTCTACTAGAAATACAAAAAAAAAAAAAAAAATTAGCCAGGTGTGGTGGTGGGTGCCTGTAATCCTAGCTTCTTGGGTGGCTGAAGCAGAAGAATCACTTGAACCTGGGAGGCAGAGATTGCAGTGAGCCAAGATCGCGCCATTGCACTCCAGCCTGGGCAACAGAGCGAGACTCCATCTCAAAAAAAAAAAAAAAAAAGCTAGACTCTGAAGTCAGTTTGCCAGGGTCTGTGAGTGGAAATGTTACAAAGAAGCTTCTCATGAAAACTTGACTCTCAAATGAGCCAAAGGCAGTGATGCCCAGAAATGGAGTTGTGGTAACACTTAAAGGAATGTATCAGTTGTCTATTGCTCTATAATGAACCCCAAAACTTAGTAGCTTCAAATGATTAGCTTATTCTTTCACACGGTCTCCGTGGATCAGGAGTCAAGGGCAACTTAATTGGGTGCTTCTCACTTGGAGTCTCTTGTGAGACTACAGTCACCTGAGGTTTAGACTGGGGCTGGAGGACCCACTTCCCAGATGGCTCACCCACCTGGCTGTCGGCAGGAGGCTGCAGTTCCTCTCCATGTGGTCGTCTTCACAGGTCTGGTGAGTATTTTTACAATATGGCATCTCCTCATTCTTTCCACCTCCCCTTCCTGCCCACCTCACCATGCCCAATGTATTTTTTCTCTTGTCAGTGATTCTCAACCTGTATGGAGTCACAGGCTCACTGTGGCCTAATGAAAACTAGGGACTCTTCCTGAGTAAAGTACACATATGCATTTACACAGAATATTCTAGATAGAATTTCAAGGGGCTCCAAGGTTAAGTACCAATTGGATCCACAGAGAGCTCTGTCAAACGTGAATCAAATTGTGTAATTCCCTGTTTGAATCCTTCTGTGACCCCCACTGTCCATAGGATAAAAAACTTCTTTAGCACACCATGATCTGACTCCAACTTACTTTTAATAACAATAACCTTATCATCACATGGAATGTCTTCTACATGGCAGACACTTTTCACACTTTCTTCCTAATTCTTAGAAGAACTCTGCAAGGAGTGGATTTTATGATTCCATTTTAGAGATAAGGAGAAGCTCAGAGCTGAAATCTGGCCGATTCAGCACCTGCCTCATCTCCCCCACACCCCCAAGTGAATGGTTGAGTTTAGGGGAGCCCGGATTCTTCTGACTCTGAAGCTGGCATCCCTCCAGGCCTGGCCACCCCGCTTTCTGCCCCTTCTTGTCTACTGCCAGGCACGCTCCTTTCTGTTGCTTCAGAACCACTCATCATTTCCAGACATGCTGTGGGTTTTGTGTAGGAAGCTTTTTCTACCTTAAAGGTCCTTTCTTCCCATCTTGTCCTCCTCCTCCAACCTTCTCTAATCATTGTGCTCTGATATCCTATTCCTTCTTCAAGACTCAGGGTGTCATTTCTTCCATGATCTTTTCCTGAACTATGACTTTCCAGTGCTCCTTCACATATTCCACGGCAACCACCAGGCTGTGTCATAATTTCTCATGTACTCACCTATATACTTACTACCCCTAGACTGTTTCTTGAAGGCAAATATCAGTCATGCCTTTCTAACCTTTTTATAAATCTAGCTTTTCATAGGATAGGTGTTCACTGTATATTTGTTGAGTGAGTGAATGAATGAATGAATGGCATTTTCTGTAAGAATTCCCCCTAGCATGTAAATTATCCAGCTTTTGAATAAATGTAGCTAGGATCTAGGGCTTCTTGAGGCTTCAGTCTTTTTAGGATATCTCTCATGAGCCTAGGGGTGGCAGTGTGATGCCACACCTGAAAATACTCTGCCATTTTCAAAGCTTTAACATTTTGGCACCCAAGGGGAGAAGCCACAGAGTTGATCTGTGCCTAGCTTTTGTAGTTAACCTGTCTCATTTGAACAGGCAGGGAAATTGACACTCTGAGAATGAAAGTATTTCTACCCAAGGTCTTGTCATTTAATGTTGTGCTGAATAGGGACCAGGAGCTGGATGTCCTGAGCTGCGTGTTGAGATCTTCTCCCTACAGACAATGTTGAAGACTTGTAAAGGTTCTACCTCTTTGAAATTTTTTTTTTTTTTTAAGATGGAGTCTCACTCTGTTGCCCAGGCTGGAGTGCAGTGGCACTATCTTGGCTCACTGCAACTTCCACCTCCTGGGTTCAAGCCATTCTCCTGCCTCAGTTTCCCCGAATAGCTGGGATTACAGGCATATGCCACCACGCCTGGCTAATTTTTGTATTTTTAGTAGAGACAGGGTTTCACCATGTTGGCTAGGCTGGTCTTGAACTAACGACCTCAGGTGATCCGCCCATCTCGGCCTCCCAAAGTGCTGGGATTACAAGTGTGAGCCACCACGCCTGGCCTACCTTCGAAATCTTAAAGGGCAAAGCTGACTTCAAACAGACTTCAAGCAGTTGTTTTGGTATGGCTCCATTTTAATAAGAAAAAATATAAATATGTAGATGGATACATCGACAAAGTGGTAAAAGAATATGCATCAAGTAATAACTGTTATCTCTGGGATTAGATTAAACTTATTTATTTATTTATGTATTTATTTATGTATTTATTTTGAGATGGCATCTTGCTCTGTCACCCAAGCTAGAGTGCAGTGGCACATTCTTGGCTCACTGCAATCTCCGCCTTTGGGGTTCAAGAGATTCTCTTGCCTCAGCCTTCCAAGTAGCTGGGACGACAGGCGTGTGCCACCACGCCTGGTTAATTTTTGTATGTTTAGTAGAGAGGGGGTTTCACCGTGTTGGCCAGGCTGGTCTCGAACTCCTGGCCCCAAGTGCCTGCCTGGGCCTCCCAAAGTGCTGGGATTATAGGCGTGAGCCACTGCACCCAGCCTCTGGGATTTTAAATTATTTTTATTTACTTTTTAATGTATGTTTTAAAATCTTTCTATAAGGTATATAAATTACATATTCGATTTTTAAAGCTTCTAGTTGTTAAAAGAAAAATGCCCTGTGCATAAGATAAGCTATCACTGTAATTTAATTTTCTGACTTTTCTTTCTGAACACAGATAAAATCATGCCTATTTTGCACTTAACACAGGAAGTGGTTTCTAGAGTAGCAGAAAGTCTCAGTGACTTCGAGGTACATAATTCTACCTCTAAGGCAGCGTCATCAAGATTATATTTACATGTGTTTAGTTCAGTGAAGTAGTTGTCTCAGGTGCTTGTTTAGATCTAACATCTTCAAGGAATGTCAGGAAGCCTAGAGGCTGAAGAAAGATGCAGAATATTTTCTAAATGTCTGGCAATGAGGAAAATCCGTCAGTATTTTCCTTGTGATTAACTTGTTGATGGATTTTCTTTTAAAGAAGTCAAGTAAAGAGAAACTATCCTAAGGGAGCGGGAACAAAGGCGGGACTATTCTGACTCACTCACCTCTGTGTTGATGGTGCCCTTTGGCGTCAGTTTCAAAGTAATTCATTCACATCTGCTCGGCAAGTACACATTGCATGCTCATTAATTCCAGGTGCTGTTAGGGTTCCCGGGGATGCAGCAGTAAAGAAAGCAGAGTTCCTGACCTCATGGAGCAATACTTGCATGTGGGAGGAGACAGATGTGGCAAATAAGTAAATATATAGCACATCAGCGGTGATAAGTAAGTGAAAAAAACGAATGGTGAGGGGGGTTGGGCCTGCCTGGAGGGCGAGAGGGCGGGGGAAGCCATAGTTCTGCTTTCAGTAGGGTGCCTGCAGGATTCTTCCATAAGGAGACATTTGTACCCAGACCGAAGGGGAAGGGAGGGAGCAAAGGTTGTGGTATCTGGGGGAAGAGCCCTCCAGAAGACAAAGACCCTGAGATGGGAGCATACTGATGGGGCCTGCAGGGACAGCAGCCGGGGCAGGGAGATCAATGGAATGGGGAGTGAACCAGGCTGTGTAGGGCAGAATATGGGGTCTTGTAGGCCACTGAAAGCATTTTTCTATTTTTAAATTCTGAGTGAGACCTGATGCGATTAAGGGATAGGGCACAAGACAGTTACTAACAAGAGGCACTAGGATGCTAAAGACTCATGGAGACTAGGCTGTAAGGGACAAAGTCCAGACGTGGGGAGCCATTAGGGGCTGTTGCCCATCCTGAAAGATGATAGAGGCTTGCGGGGGATGGGGAGGGAGGTGACAGGAAATGGCTGGATTCTGGATATAATTGAAGGCAGAATCCACTGGATTTGCTGGGAGATGAAGAGTGGGGTTTTTCCTGAGCAGTGGAGTAGATAATGGCTCTATAATCAGAGAAGGTTTTCGGCAGATGCGTTTCAGTTATCTACTGCTGAGTGACAAACAAACCAACCATCCTGCACTTAGTGGCATGAAACATCAGCAATCATTTGATTTGCTCACCAGTTGCAGCCTGGGCAGGGTTCGATGGGGACGGCTGCAGGTGAGATTAGTTAGGGCAGCTCAAAGGTTGGCTGGAGCCATCTGAGGCTTGTTACTCACACGTCTGGCTGTGGATGCTGGCTGTCAGCTGGGCCGTCAGCTGCGATGTCAGCCAGAACTCCTGCACCTCCTCGTGTTGGGGTTCACTCCCTCATGGCATGGCGGCTGGGCTCCAAAAGTGGCCTCCCAAGAAAACAAGATATGAAGCAGGTGACATTTTCATGCCTTTGCCTCAGAACTCCCATAGTCTCATTTCTGCTGTCCTTTATTGCTTGAAGGAGTCACGAAGATTGGTCCGAGTTCAAAGGAAGGAGACACGGACCCTGGCCCTGGATGGGAGGGTGTCGATGTCACATTGTAGAAGAACATGTGGGATAGGAGGTATTGTGCCCATCTTTGGTCAATGTCGTCTGCCACGTGAAGGATGCAGAAATCAAGATTTGTAGAGCATAAGCTGCTTGTTAACTATCACAGAGGGATGTTGAGTTGGCAGATGGATGTATGAGTCAAGAGAGGTCAAGGTTGGGGAAATACACGTTGGAGGCTTTATTATACAGTTGATATTTAAAGCCACCTGGAATGAGGAGAGACGTGGTGGTGGGAGGAGGAGGAGGAGAGGAAGGAGGATCAGGATAAGAGAGAGTTTATTAAGCATTGCATTTTTTTTTTTTGAGATGGAGTCTCGCGTTGTCACCCAGGCTGGAGTGCAATGGCGCCATCTTGCCCCACTGCAACGTCCGCCTCCCAGGTTCAAGCGATTCTCCTGCCTCAGCCTCCCCAGTAGCTGGGATTATAAGCACATGCTGCCATGCACAGCTAATTTTTTGTATTTTAGTAGAGACGAGGTTTCACCGTGTTGCCCAAGCTGGTCTCGAACTCCTGAGCTCAGGCAATCCACCTGCCTCAGCCTCCCAAAGTGCTAGGACTACAGATGTGAGCCACCGTGCCCAGCCACATTGCATAATTTTTATTGAGTAGCTCTATACTTAGCCTCGTGGGAGGTACTTTGCACAGCTTAGAGCAAGATGAAGGCCTCCCTGCCCCAGCCCCAGCCCACAGTGAAGCAGGCCTCACTCTGTACCACCATAGAACTCGGCTCAGTTTCTGACTCTGTATTTTTCTCTTGCTCCCCGTGCCCCTGGTGCTGGAGCGCTTAATTAGATCTAACAAGGTCTCTTTTGTCCTTGTGCTTTGGAGTGTCTTCAGGCTTTCCCTGGATAATGATAGCCAAAAGTATTCAGAGTTTTAGAAAACCTAAAACCTAAAACCTTCAAAAGGGCAATGTTGAGAAATAAAGAAATGAATTATTCCATTGTTAAGCAACTCATGTCTGAGTAAGAGAAAACTTGAATTTATGGTGGTTAAAGTATATGTGAGATATTAAAAACAAAAGAGAGAGAGAAAGAAAAAAAACCCAGAAAGCCATTTTTTGATCCTCAAGAGATCAGATGAAGTTTCTATGTGAAGCATTGAGAGATCTTTATTTTATGATAAGGCTAAATGCCAGATTGTCAAAAAAAGGGTCAAATATAAACTTCTTTGCATAATACGTAAATCCATTAATAATCTGACCCTTTCTTTTCCAATCTCCTCTACTAGCAACCTCCAGTATATTCTGGTTACCCTGCTCCAAAAATGCTCTAAACATGCCATGCCTGTGTACTACTTCCCCATGGTTTATTCTCCCTCTCCATTTCTGGCCAACTCCTACTCATCCTTTAAAACTCAGCTTGAATGTCATCTCCTCTACAAAGCAGGTGGTTGTAGTCACCTCTATTAGTGTTCCCATCTTTTGTATATACTTCCTATGATTCTGATCACATTCTGCTTAATATCTTATCACATCCTGTCATGTATATGCTCATCTCCTCTAGCAGTCAGTTTTTTAAGGGCAGTAAACCTGGGTGCTTTTTTGTTTTTTGCAGTCCCAGTCCCAGCAGTGCTGAGCAACAGAAGAGATAAACACCACAGTTTTTAGGAAGTTCAGTTGCATAAGAGATGACAGTAGAGGCCCCTGCATGTCTATTGCAGACAATTACTTACGGGCTCACAAAAGAATATTCTCTGGTTTTGCCCAGTGGGATGCACTGTCCTACAAAGGCTGAAGATTTTGGGGAGGCAACAGACACACCAAACAGACTTCCTTTTCTATATCTTTCAGTTGCTGACACTATTAAGAAATAGAGACTGGGCATGGTGGCTCACACGTGTAATCCCAACACTTTGGGAGGCCGAGGTGGAGGATTGCTTATGACCAGGAGTTTGAGACCAGCTGGGCAACATAGTGAGACCCCATCTCTACCACATACACACACACACACACACACACACGCAAATTAGCTGGGCGTGGTGGCAAGCCCCTGTAGTCCCAGCTACTCAGGAGGCTGAGGTGGGAGGATCACTTGAGCCTGGGATGTTGAGGCTGCAGTGAATCATGATTGCACCATCGCATTCTAGCCTGGGAGACAGAGCAAGACCTTGTCTCAGGAAGGAAGGAAGGAAGGAAGGGGAGAGAGAGAGAGAAAGAAAGAAAGAAGGAAAGAAAGGAAGAAAGAGAGAAAGAGAGAGAGGAAGGAAGGAAAGAAAGAAAGAAAAGGAAGTAGAGAAAGAAAGGAAGGCAGGCAGGCAGGCAGGAAGGAGGAATTCCCTTCTGATTTGGTAGGAATTAGAAGATTCCTCTACTCTATCATTGTCATTGTAAAACATCTCTAGAGTAGTTGTTTGAGGCACACAAACTCCTTTCCAACATGATATTACAATACCCAGATTTCTGGTGTCAAGCCACATGTCAGTATGAACGGTCCTGCACAGATGACGTGTTCAACTTTCATGGTTGTCTCTACCTTCCATTCCAGCCTGCTCCGCCTCCTGGATTTTCCAGAAACCTCTGGCTTCTCCCTTCTTCCTCAGGGGTGTGTGGCTCTCTGGTGGGGAATTATCAACCAACATAGTGGGAGATGCTGAAGCCCGAGCGATGAGCAAAGTGAACACAGAGCACTGGGAAGCTGAGGTGCAGATGCACGAAGGGAAGAAGCTGGGAAGAAGCTGGAGGAAAGGAGTGAAGGAAATAGGATGATGGAGCCAAAACTGGGACTAGGGAGGCCAGACCTGGGAAAGAAGGTGGGAGCTGAAGTGGGGATCCTGAGGATGTTAACTGAAAAACCACGAGATCTATAAGCAACTCTTTAACCGAAAGGAGAGACTCTGCTGGTAGAAGTTTACCTGTTGGGGGTGACTCAGGCAGAGCTAAGCTAGCCCTGCAATGACTCCAAATGATCCTGCAAGGTGGGGGCAGACACAGGAGAGGAAAACAGCCCCATCCTGGCCTGCTGGTCAAAGCACACACGTGTGCTCTCTTCTCTCCCTCCCTCTCTGCTCTGTCTCTCTCTCTCCCTCCTTTTCTCTCTGTTTCTGTCTTTCTCTCTCTGTACCTTGGCAGCTAACCTGGCATTCTGAACTCCACCCCCAACCCTGTCGGTGCCTCTTTTGACCCTGAGTAGCTCTTTTCTCTCTTTCCCTACTTCCTACTTCTTACCACTGCCTGGAGAGGTTATTCTTAGCCACTTGCTGAACAGTTACTTGTTTCATTTAAACAAACAAAAAAGAAACAAAACCTGCCTAATGTGGCAGTAGACTTGAATTTAAAGAAAATGTATTTCAAACTGGGAAGAAGAGAAAAATTTTTTCTTAAATGCAACTTATTTTCATTGATTCTGAAAGCAATACATATTTATTGTAGAGAGAAATTGGATTGTACAGAGAAGCACAAAGAATAAAATTATAGTTATCCATTATTCCATGGTCAGAGATAACTGGAATTAACATAAGGATATTGCTTTGGCTTGAATGTTTGTGTCTTTTCCAAAATTCATGCTGAGGCCGGGCGCGGTGGCTCACCCCTGTAATCCCAGCACTTTGTGAGGCTGAGGCAGGTGGATTGCCTGAGCTCAGGAGTTCTAGACCAGCCTGGCCAACATGGTGAAACCCCAACTCTACTAAAAATACAAAAAATTAGCCAGGCGTGGCGGTGCATGCCTGTAATCCCAGCTACTCAGGAGGCTGAGGCACAAGAATCGTTTGAACCTGGGAGGCGGAGGTTGCAGTGAGCTGAGATTGCACCACTGCACTCCAGCCTGGGTGACAGAACGAGACTCTGTCACAAACAAACAAACAAAACCAAAATTCGAGTTGAAAGATAATCCCCAATGTAACAGTATTAAGAAAGAGGTGAGGTCTTTAGGAGGTGATTAGACCGTGAGGACTCTGCTCGCATGATTGGATTAATGCCTCATAAAAGGACTTGAGGGAGCCAGTTCAGCCCCTTCTTCTCTTCCACCAAGTGAAGACTCAGGGTTTGTCTTCTCCCTCAGCAACAGGGTGCCATCACAGAAGCAGAGAGCAGCCCTCAGCAGACATCAGACATGCTGGTGCCTTGATCTTGGGCTTCCCAGTCTCCACAACTGTGACAAATACACTTCTATTGTTGATAAATTACCCAGTCTGTGATATTTTGTTACAGCAGCACAGACTAAAACAGAAATATATGCTTTTTAGCCTTCTACACACACACACACACACACACACACACACACATTATTGGGATATAGTGTATGTATTGTTTCATAATCTACTTCTTTCACATGAACACTTTATGGTGAATGTTTTTCCATGCTAATATTTTTTCCATAAAGATATTTTAAATCATGACATAGTATTCTATTTGAACATATCAAAACATTTAATCTACTATTATTGGACATTTAAGATATTTCAAAAAAAATTTTCTTTTTGCTACTAGCAATAGATTTGTCTTTTTTTTTTTTTTTCTTGAGACAGGGTCTCACTCTGTCACCCAGGCTGGAGTGCAGTGGTGTGATTTTGGCTCACTGCAACCTCCACTTCTGGGGTTCAAGTGATCCTCCCCCCTCAGCCTCCTGAGTAGCAGGGACTACAGGCACACACCGCCACACTCAACTAAGTTTTGTATTATTATTATTTTAGTAGAGACGGGGTTTCACCATGTTGCCCAGGCTGGTCTCAAACTACTGGGCTCAAGCAATCCACCCACCTCAGCCTTCCAAAGTGCTGGGATTACAGGCACGAGCCACCATGCCCGACCACTAGGTTTGTCTTGAACAATCTGGTACTGAAATCTTTACCCACATCCATGGCTATTTTCTTAGCATAAATGTCTAGACATAGAATAGCTGGATTAGAGGGATGTGCATCTTAAATTCCTGGTACATAGAGCCAAATTAGCCTTCAGAAAGCTTATGCTAATTTTCCTGTCAGCAATGCTGTTTCTCCAAACTCTAGATAACCCTGGCTAGTATCAGTTTTTTTTTCTGTTATTAATTTTCTTTGGTTTTGAGACAGAGTCTTGCTCTGTTGCCCATGCTGGAGTGCAATGGCACGTTCTCAGCTCACTGTAACCTCTGCCTCTTGGGTTCAAGTGATTCTCATGCCTCAGCCTCCTGAATAGCTGGGATTACTAAAAAAAGTACAAAAATTAGCCAGGCACATCTCTACTAAAAAAAAAAAAATACAAAAATTAGCCAGGCATGTACCATCATGGCTGGCTAATTTCTCTATTTTTTTAGGAGAGGCAGGGTTTTGCCATGTCAAACTCTTGGCCTCATGCAATCCACCCGCCTCAGCCTCCCAAAGCGCTGAGATTACAGGAGTGAACCACCACGTCTGGCCTATTAATTTTTAATGTAATTCTATTGAGATCAGAAAATATACTTTGTATGAATTTAATCATTTTAAATTTATTGAGATCTAGTTTACAGGCCAGAATGTAGTCTGTTTTGGTGAATGTCCCATGAGCACCTGAAAAGAATTTGCATTTTGCCATTGTTGGATGAAGTGTTCTATATATGTCAATTAGGTTAAGTTGGTTGCTAATGTTATTGAAATCTTCTATATCCTTTCTGATTTTCTGTGTACTTATTCCATCAATTAATAAGAGAGAGATGTTGGAATCTCCCATTATAATTTTGAATTTGTCTATTTTCTCTTTCTACTAGTTTTTCCTTCCTGTGTTTTAATGCTCTGTTATAAGGGGCACACACATTTAATCTTGCTATGTCTTCTTGAAGAATTGACCTGCTCGTCATAATAGGATGTTCATCTTTATCCCTGGTAATATTCTCTGTCCTGAATACTACTCTGTCTGCTATAAATACAGCCTCTTTAGCTTTTTTCAATTAGTGTGTGTATGGCATATCTTTTCCCAGCCTTTCACTTTTAAACTATTTATGTCTTTATATTTAAAGTGGGTTTCTTATAGACAGCATAGACTGAGTCTTGCTTTTTTGTTTTTTGACGCTAACCTGACAATTCTGCTTTTTACTTTAATTTTTAATTTTTTTTTTTTGACAGAGTCTCACTCTGTCACACAGGCTGAAGTGCAGTGGTGTGGTAATAGCTCACTGCAGCCTCAAACTCCTGGGCTCAGTGGCTCCTCCTGCCTTAGCCTCCTGAGTATTTGGGACTACAGGTACGTGCCTCTGTGCCAACCTAATTGTTGCTTTTTAATTGGAATGTTTAGACCATTTATTTGATGTAATTCTTGATACAACTGGGTTCCATCTACTATCCTGCATTTGTACCCCAACCCCATGTTTGTCCCATCTTCTTTCTTTTCTCGTGCCTTCTTTTGGAATAATTGAGTATTTTTTCTAATTATACTTTATCTCAGCTCTTAGCTTATTAGCTATGCCTCTTTGTTCTATTTCTATTTTTTACTGGTTACTCTAGGGTCTACATATACATCTTTAACTTACCCCAGTCTTTCTTCCTGTATAGCGTAAGAACTGTGCAGGGGTACACCTCCATTTCTGCTTTCCTTCTTTGTGCTGTTGTTGTCATATGTCTACATGCATCATAAATCCCACAATACATTGATTTTTTATTTTATTTTTTTGAGATGGAGTCTTACTCTGTTGCACAGGCTGGAGTACAGTGGTACAATCTCAGCTCACTGCAACCTCTGCCTCCCGGGTTCAATCAATTTTCCTGCCTCAGCCTCCTCATTAGCTGAGATTACAGGCATGCGCCACCACGCCAGGCTAATTTTTGTATTTTTAGTAGAGAGGGGGTTTCACCATGTTGGCCAGGCTGGTCTCGAATTCCTGACCTCAGGTGATCCACCCGCCTTGGCCTCCCAAAGTGTTGGCATTACAGGCATGAGCCACCGCACTCAGCCCCCACAATACATTTAGACCAGAGGTTGGCAAACTTTCTGAGCTAGATAGTAAATATTTTTCACTCTATACAGTCTCTATTGCAACTACTTAACCTTACTCTTATAGCACAAAAGCAGCCATAGATAAGACGGAAATAAGTGAGCATGGCTGTGTTCCAAAATATTTTTATTTACAAAAATAGGCAGCAGGCAGGATTTATCCTGTGGGCTGTAGTTTATGATCCCTGCTTTAGGTAACAAAAAATTATATCTGGAAGAACACGATGTTGTCTTTTTTTTTTTTTTCATTTACCTATGTATTTATCACATTGGGCACTCTTTTTCTTCCTTTTTTCTTCTTTTTGAGATCCCACATTCTACTTGGTATCATTTTTCTTCTCCCTGAAGAACTTTATTGTGAGGGAGGAGAGAGACCCTCTCATATTGTTTTATATTGTTTTATACTCAGTACCTGTTTTAAGAAAAAAGAAAAAAAACAAGGAAGTGAAATCAAAGACAGGCAGCCCAGCGCCAGTCCCAAAACCAGGCCTGGGCCTGCCTGGCCTAAACCTAGTAGTTAAAAATCAACTCATGACTTAGAACCCGATGTTACCCATAGATTTCAGGTATTGTATAAAAGAACATTGTGAAACTCCCTGCTCTGTTCTGTTTCTCTCTGACTACCAGTGTATGAAACCCCTGTCACGTATCCCCTAGATTGCTCAATCAATCATGACCCTTTCATGTGAAATCTTTAGTGTTGTGAGCCCTTAAAAGGGACAGAAATTGTGCACTCGAGAAGCTCGGATTTTAAGGCAGTAGCTTGCCAATGCTCCCAGCTGAATAAAGCCCTTCCTTCTACAACTTGGTGTCTGACAGGTTTTGTCTGCGGCTCGTCCTGCTACAATTGAACATTTCTGTAGAGCATGACAGCAATACATTATCTCAGCTTTTGATTGTTTGAAAAAAATCTTTATTTTGCCTTCATTTTTAAAAGACATTTTTGCTTGGTATAGAATTCTAGGTTGACAGGATTTTCTCTTACAGTCTTGTAAAGCTCTCTCTCCATTGCCTACTGGCTTCCATGATTTCTGCCAATAAGGCAACTATAATTATTATCCCTTTTTATCCTATATAAGTAATTTTTTTCTGGCTGCCTGGAAGATTTCTCTTTATCTTTGAGTTCTCAGCACTTTGACTCTAATGTTCGGGTGTATTTTTCTTTGTGTTGATCCTACTTAGGGTTTTCTGAACTAGGACCTATGGTTTTGTTGTTTTTGTCTAATGTTAGAAAATTCTTGAGTACTATGTCTCAGATATTTCTCCTGTCCTATTTCTTTTTTCTCCCCCTGGAATTACTGAGCTTCAACCTATTCTTCGTTTTTTATTCTTCCTGGGACTCCAATTGCATGTATGTTAGACTTTTTGAAATTGTTTTATGGTGCTTGGATTTTATCACCACTACCACTGCCAATACAATTACAACCATCGCCTTCACCACCTTCATTACCACCATCACCACCTCCCCTCTGCCTTAACCACCACCTTTACTACCACCACCATTATCATCATATCCACCTATATGATGGTTACAGTAGGGCAGGTATTATCCTACGCACCCTATATATGTTAACTCTTTAAATCATCGCATCAACACTGTAATATAATTATACACATATTATGTTATTCTAATTTTACAGGACTTGGGAGAGGGATCTGGACTGAAGTGGAGGAATCCAGTACAAGTAGTGGAGCCGTCTGAAATCTTGGTTTGTGTCTACAAATGCTATTCCAATATTTGAAGCTAATAAGTCAATTTAAGTTTGCGCAGGGAAATACATTCAATCAATCATTCATTCATCCAACATTTATAAGCTGTCTCCTGTATGACAGAAAGATGAATAGCCAACAAAGGCTAATGATAACCCTCCCCTCCTGTCTCCCTCCTTCCTCTCTCTGCCAAAGCATGAGAGGTATTTGAATAATCAGTTTCCACTGTTCCACCTTTTCATGGAAGAACACAGGCTTTGAGATCTGGGCCTGGTCTCCCCATTTAGGCCAGATTCTCTGTGGCTTTCAGAGCACCTTTGGCTATAGGTATTGCTTCCCACCTCCCTTCCCTTTCCTCCTCAGAACTCTTCCTGCTTTGGCCCTAATGACAAGTTGATAAGCTAATAGCTTTGAGGCCCCAGGACTAGAGGTGGGCAGCTCAGCTGCTTCCTAGAATTCTGAGCTTGTGAAGTTTCTTTTTTTCTTTTTCTTTTTAGAGATGGGGTCTTGCTCTGTCATCCACGCTGGAGTGCAGTGGCACAATCATAGCTCACTGCAGCCTCAAGATTCCTAACTCAAGCAGTTCTCTTGCCTCAGTCTACCAAATAGCTGGGACTACAGGTGCATGCCACCATGCCTGGCTAGGCTTGTGAAATTTCTATACAACAACCTCATTTCTCTGTTTCTTACATTCTAAACTCCCACGAAGTAAGTTTGTGGATATTTGACTTGCTGAAAATCATACAAATGAACTTTCCTAATTCTATTTTCTCTGTGGAACACAGATTATTAAAGTGAGAATTAATGTGTGCCTGGGACAGTTTTGGCTTCCACCTGTTGTCCAAGTGTAATTATTAATTGCACCCTCCCCTATTTGCTCACAAAAGGAGCACTGGTTATTAGATGAAAAATCATATGGTCATCTGAAGTTAAGAAACCTCAAATCCAATTTTGTTGTAGTTTATCCTGTTTTCTCATCTGTTAAATGAGAACAGTTCTCATAAATTTTATATAAGTAGATGAGAGATTAGAAGGAAAGGCTTTGAACTTACTGGAAGAAAAGACCTATAGAAATCCAAGGTGACTTACTATTGTTATTCTAATTTTTATATGCCTGTTGGCCTGTAACAGATGTGTTCTGATTTAAGCATTAGCTAAAACTTTATGTTAGAATCGTAATTTTTTATATCTAATTATATATGCTTATAAATTTATGCATTTTTTGAGATGCTTTCTCTCTTTCTTTTCTTTTCATTCTTGTTGTCATCTTACCCTTCTCTTTTTCTGAAGACTTTAAATTGCCTTCATCTCTGTCTCACTTGTTCCTCCAATAAGTCCCCCTCTCCCACATTCCTAACCTCTCCATACCTCTCCTCAAAAAGCAGCAGACAGCTTTGGTGATGTGAATGTTAGGGAAACTACTGGGGCCTACATCAGGGCAACAGATAGGCCCTAGCAGCCTGCCGCTGTCTAGAGCAAGGATTGGTGACCTTTGTCTGTAAAGAGCAAGACAGAAAATATTTTTACCTTTTGTATTAGTCTGTTCTCACACTGTTATAAAGACATACCCGAGACTGGGTAATTAATGAAGGAAAGAGGTTTACTTGAGTCACAGTTCTGCAGGCTGAACAGAAGGCATGACTAGGGAGGCCTCAGGAAGCTTACAATCACGGCGGAAGGCGAAGGGGAGGCAGGCACATCTTCACATGGCAGAGCAGGAGGTGGGGGTGGGAGGTGCTGCACACTTTCAAACCACCAGGTCTAATGAGAATGCTATCACGAGAATAGCAAGTGGGAAGTCCGCTCCCATTGTCCAGTCACCTCCCTCCTTCAACACTAAGGATCACAACTTGAGATGGGATGTGGGTGGGGACATGGAGCCAAACCTTATCAACTTTGCAGGTCATGTGACCTTTTTCACAACTCCTCGCATCTGCTACTGTGGCACAAAAGCAGCCATAGACAATAGTTAACAAATGGGAGTGTCTGCGTTTCAATAAAACTTTATTTATAAAAAGGCCCTTGGGCCATAGTTTGTTGGGCCCCCTAGTCTAGGGGACTGTTCAGGGCCCTGATTTGGCCTGGGATCTTATCTCAATAAACCACTCAAAACCAGGTATAGGAGACAAGTTAATACTTAAAGGGGGCTTCAGGAGTTCCTTCTTTAGGGGACGAATAATCACCCCCTTCTCTCTTTTGGTAAAGTGGTGTTTTCTAAGGATGATGATGGGTAGGTACAGGTATGTTCATTATCAAGCATTTAAAGAAAAGATATCCTAGGTATTGACCAATCATGGTCACTTGGGAAACAAAATGGAAGTGCCTAGACTCCAGGGCCCTGCCAAACACTTGCAGTGGGTGGACAGCTCTAAGCACAGGCCTCTAGTCGTTCATCATTTTTCCTTTTGGACCACTGCCCACTTTTCACATCCATATTTACCTACTTTGGGGAAAAAAGAAAAATTTCTTTGTTTTTATGTGGGTAAGCAGTCCCTAAAGGAGTCAGTTGAGGGGGGTGGGTGGGAGGGTAGTTTCAGAGCCAGCAGCAGGGGGTGACTGTCACAACCCTTCAAGAGTGACTGGGGGCTGGAGGGGGCTGACAGCCTCGCTGAACTTCCCCACAGTATTGTTAGCTGAGGCCGGGCCCCCTCTGCTTCTGGTTTTGGCCCTGACCTTAGGATGGCTTTACTGGCCAAGATACAAAGCCCCACAGACAGCAGCCCCAGGGGTCCCCATGGTGTCATTGTTGTAGTTAGTGACTCTGACCAGGTGCTGGCTGGAGCAGGGTTGATGGGCCCCTATGTCCACTCACCCTAAAGAGCAAGTAAGGTCAGTGCATGCTCACCAAGTCCATTATAATGTAGCCACGATCTTTTTTTTTGGCTCTCTGTTTCCATCATGGGATTGCTACTTCAGGACAATAGCAAAAAGGGGCTCTTCACAATGGAAACTTTGAGAACAGCTCTTCTTTGAGGAATCCTCATTGCTGGCTGTGATTAAACAATTTCAATGTACTGAAAGCTGTGTAAAGGCAATTCTCAATTACCTGTATGTTAGGTGCTGAAAGTGTCTAATTAAGCCAACTGTTTGGATCCTGGAATGTACTCTCCTAGAAACAATTGCGGTCAGGTCTCACCCAGCTCACATATACCTATTTAACCCACAGTGGACTGAAGTATTAATACTGTAGGTTAGCACCTGACGAGCATATGGAGGGAACATCATGGGTTCAGAGATATTGGTAAGATCTCATTGATAGAAACAGGAGGCAGAGAAATTCTAAGCAGACAGGGATGGGTCCCAGGTGAAACCCCACCTTCAAGCCAAAGTAGCCTGAAACCCACAGCCCAAAGTGATAACTTTTTTTTTTTTTTTTTTTTTTTTTGAGGCAGTCTCGTACTGTTTCCCAGGCTGGAGTGCAATGGCACCACCTCCGCTCACTGCAACCTCTGCCTCCTGGGTTCAAGCGATTCTCCTGTCTCAGCCTCCTAAATAGCTGGGACTACAGGTGTGCCCCATCAAGCCTGGCTAATTTTTGTATTTTTAGTAGAGATGAGGTTTCACCATGTTGGCCAGGCTCATCTCAAACAGCTGACCTCAGGTGATCCACCCACTTTGGTTTCCCAAAGTGCTGGGATTATCGGCATAAGCCACTGTGCCCAGCCCAAAGTGAGAACTATTCTCATTTGCCCACTCTCTCCTGATTGGTTCTTTATGAATAATGTCTTTTTACCAGTTGAATGTTGCCTTTTCCAAAACTACCTACGGCCCACCCCACTCCCATCCTGTGCCTATAAAGACTCCAGACTCAGTTGGTAGAGACAGATGGCTGAACTTTGGGGGAGATGGCCAGACTTCAAGAGAGACGGCTTGACTTTGGAGAGAGATGGCTTGAATTCTGGGAAGAGACAATCTGACTTTGTGGAAGGTGACCTGCCCTTCCCATCCCTTTTCCAGCTCCCCTCTCCACTGAGAGTCGTTTTCATTGCTTAATAAAATTCTCCGCCTTCACCATCCTTCAGTTCATCCATGTGATCTCATTCTTCTTGGACACCAGACAAGAGCTTGGGACCCACCAAGTGTGGGTACCCAGAAAGTCCATCACACTGGCCCTTTGCCCTTGCTGGTGAAGAGCAGCTGCCCCGTGTGGCAAGACAAATGGCCAACTGAGCTGCTAACACATAACTGTCTGCAGATGGGGGAACTAAGAGAGCACTGTAACACTCCCTCTGGGGTTTTGGGGTTGTGGGTGCCCCCACCTAGGCGCTGCCACAGGCCCCACATGGAGCTTGCTCCTGCTGGCACCCAGAGCAGCCAGCTGGATCCCACACTCATTTACTCATGCCTGGTCTGGCCATGGGCCCTGCATGGAGCTTGCTCCTGCTAGTGCCTGGAGCGGCCAGCTGGATCCTGCACTTGCTTGCTCATGTGCTCCCTCTTGCAAGGGGCTGAGTACAGTGGGCCAAGTAGATGGGGATCCACCATTGTGAGTCCCACAAAGGGGCCAAGAAAAATCCTGCATCATGATCCCACCTGCCTGGGAGAAGCATCAGAAACTCCATTTGCTCCCTGTCTCTTCCTTCAGAGACTTTCAAGACTTGTGGCTTTCAAGGTCTGAGAATCCCAGGGCAGGGCGCTCGGGAGGAGGAAGGGCTGGCTCTGGGCCTGAGGGATGTTGGGGAGGAGCTTAGCTTGGGACAGTGTCCTGCCCGGGCAACTACCAAGCTGCATCCAGTTCTCAGTTTGCTCCTTTGTGTTATTAAATATAATAATGTTTATTCTTTTTCTTAATCCAGCAGTAATGAGTATTCATTTTTGAAAACTTAGAAAACATAGATAAGCAGAAGGAAGAAAATTTAAATATCCCATATTCCCACCAGTTTGGTAATATAGGCTTCCAGTGTTTTTCTATCATTAAACAAAAATTATGAGAGGCCATTGTCTTAGACTGAGTTCCTGCACTAGGCTCCAATAGACCAGACCAAATCAAAATGAAGTTGCTCATGCTAAATGCCACATAATCAGACTAAAACTTTAAAGAAGCAGATAGATTTCCAAAACAGACCAAGTTTTCCTGCAAACAGGAGATTCCAGCCTTCCTGAGTCAGCAGTATATAAGGAAGTCCCCTCTGCTTTAACCCTTATTACAAAAGCAACCTGAAGTAACCTGATGTTAACTAATCAGTTTTTTCCTACTGTTCTATTCCTTGTTTCTACCTTACAAAACCCACGGTTCTGCCATTGCCTGGTGGAAGCTCTCATTCTATTTTGTAGAATGGAGGCTGCCCTGATTCATCGCCAATAAAAGTCAATGAGATCTATAACAAAATTTGTTGTAATTCTGTCTTTGACATTACACATATGTGTGCACATGTACAGTACCTATATATTCACACACTTTGCATATTGTTTATAATTTGTTCTTCATTAAACAATGGGTTGTGAACATTTTTCATGCCATTAAATACTTTTTTTTTTTTTTTTTTTACAGCATTTCAGAATGGATGGGTATATCATACCTTATTTAACCAGCATCCTATTGTTGGACTGTTAGGTTTTTCTATCAAAAATAACCCTGTGATGAGCCTCTTGAAATTGCTGTCTTTGCATGGATCCACTATATTTCCTTTGGATAATTCCAAAAACGAACAATGGGTGTGTGTGAGTTAAAGCGTTTAACTTATTTCCAAAGTAACTTCCATCCCCGTGTGTGAGAAGGCTCACCTGCGCCTTTCCACCACTGGCTGTTAAAAAATTTTGAAACTCTTTGCCAGACTGATAAATGAAAAATGTTATTGAGCTGTGTTTTTTTTTTTTTTCTGTATTGGTGAGCTTGGACATTTGTATATGTTTATTCACTCTTTTGTGAATTGGCTGCTTCCTTTCTTAAGTCACAGCACTTAACAATCCCTGGATTGTTTTGGCCATTCAAAACCAAAGTGAATGGATCCAGGTTTTATTACTCTTTGAAAGGTAAACACCTCGCTCCAGGCAGATAAACCTGCAGAGACCTTCCCAGGGCAATTAATTCTCTAACCCTCAAGGTTTGTCCATCCTTTGACCCAGCTGCCCGAATGTGCAGAGTCCCTAACATATTTCCTTGTCACATCCAGTGGGGACCAAGGAATCTCACCTGTTTGGAACTGTGAGCTTTTAGGTAATAGGAACAAGAAATAAAATTGGTCAGAAAACAATAGGAAATCATGGAAGGCTTTAAAAGCCAAGAGACCGAAAATATCTACCTATGGTTAACAGGTAATTGACTTATTTTGGTTTTTGACTATTGTAAATACACTTGGTGTGAATGCGCAGGTGTGTGTCCTTCCGTGGACACATGCATTCATTTTGTTTTGAGTATTTACCTAGGGGTGGGATTATTGGGTCAGAGTATAGGTGTATGTTTAGTTTGAGTAGGTAACGTCAAATAGTTTCTCAAGGAAACAACAAAAAAATTTACACTCCAATCAGCGGTGTATCACAGCTCCAGTTGCTTTAAACTCCACTGACATATGGTATTTCTGTCCTCTAATTTTAGTTTTTCTGTTAGGTTTTATATTTCTTTTAATAAGTTAATATGATTTTAGATTTTATATTTCTTTTAATAAGCTAATTTGACACCACATATAATATTAATGTTGCTTTTCCATTTTCATTTTGTTTAGTTTTAAAAATATGTCTTTTTATATCTTCTCTTACTGATCTATAGATAATACATTTTATAGAACTATTCTACTTTCAAGATTTTATACAACACTTTCTAATAAAAAAACTCTGGGTATATTCCTTTTATAATTATTTTTTAACCTTTTTTTTTTTTTGTTTTGAGAAGGAGTCTCACTCTTTCCTCCAAGCTGGAGTGCAGTGGTGCGATCTCAGCTCACTGCAACCTCCGCCTCCCCAATTCAAGCGATTCTCCCGCCTTAGCCTCCTGAGTAGCTGGAACTACAGGCATGCACCACCACGTCCAGCTAATTTTTGTATTTGTAGTAGAGCCAGGGTTTCACCATGTTGGCCAGGCTGGTCTCAAACTCCTGACCTTGTGATCTGCCCACCTCGGCCTCCCAAAGTGCTGGGATTACAGGCGTGAGCCACCGCGCCCGGCCTATTTTTTACCCTTTTATGTACCACCTACAAATGGTTCCTCTTCGTGTGTACGCGGTGCATTTCTCTTTGACGGTGTCTTACCAATACTCCTTCAACAGGGAAAATGGTATCCAATACCTTCTAAGTTTTGTCCTATCCTATTCTATTAAAATAATATGGCAATCCAGGTGTGGTGGCTCATGCCTGTAATCCCAGCACTTTGGGAGGCCAAGGTGGGCAGATCGCCTGAGGTCAGGAGTTCAAGACCAGCCTGGCCAACCCGGTGAAACCTTGTCTCTACTAAAAATACAAAAATTAGCCAGGCATGGTGGTGGGCGCCCATAATCCCAGCTACTCAGGAGGCTGAGACAGGAGAATGGCTTGAACCCAGGAGGTGGAGGTTGCAGTGAGCCGAGATTACGCCCCTGCACTCCAGCCTGGGCAACAGAGTAAGACTCCGTCTCAAAATAATAATAATAATAATAATAATAAGGCACACATATCAAGCTGATACAAATTCTGCATGGATTATTTTTAAGCCTCCTTCCTTCAGGAGTAAGTTACAGTGTAAAGAACATAGCTTTGCAGCCAGACTGGGCTTATATCCTGCCCACACAACTTGCTAACTGTGTGACCTTGGGCAAGTTAGTTAACTCTCAGAGCCTTGGGTTCTTCAATAACAAAACCCAGGTTTTAGGATTGTTGGGATGTTAAATGAAATAGTGTATATAAAGTGTCAAGCATGTAACAGCATGCTCAAGAAATATGTTTTCTTGTATGCTAGAAGCAGGTACATCAGATGCCTCTTTATCACATTTGCCTTAGTTCACAAAGCAATTAAAAATAGATACAGGGTGGGAGGGGATAAAGGATAAAAAAACTACATATTAGATACAATGTACACTACTGGGGTCACTCGGGTGAAGAGTGTAGCAAAATCTCAGACTTCACCACTAGACAATTCATCCATGTAACCAAAAACCACTTGTATCCCAAAAGCTGTTGAAATAAAACATATATTTAAAAAAATAGGTACAGCTAGAAGATAAGATGATGGCTTTAAAAAAGTAGGCACCATCTGCTGGTGATACGGACAGGAGACAGGGAAACACTGGGTAGAAGAGGGCGGTTCTCCGGCAAAGGCCCCCACCCTGAAGCCCAGATACCCGTGACCCTAAAGGAGGACAGGGATTCCTGTTTTCACACCCAAAAGGTTGCCTTTTGGCCATCCTGTACCCATATAAACCCCAAACCCCAGGCTCCAGAAGCAGACAAGGAGACAAGGAGACAAGCAGACGAATGGCAGAAAGGCACGGCAGAGAAAGAGGAGAATGTCTGAGCACTGAGAGGTATTCGGCTGCGGGGCAGTCGAAGAGGAGTTTGGCCACTGGATGTCCAAATTCCAGGGGAAGATCATCTTCCCACTCCGTCATTGGTTCTGTACGGGAAGGCCGGACAACTCGAAGTGAGGAGGGGGCTTCCAGGTTATAGGTAGATAAGAGACAAAATGGTTGCATTCTTTTGAGTTTCTGATTAGCCTTTCCAAAGGAGGCAATCAGATATGCATTTATCTCAGTGAGCAGAGGGATGACTTCGAGTTCTGTCTGTCCTTTGTCCGTAAGGAAATGCCTTGTGAGGGAGGTTTGTAGCTTTTAAAAAAGATCTTAGTAGCTATCATTTTCAGGAGTAGAATGGGAGGCAGGTTTGCCCTAAGCAGCTCCCAGCTTGACTTTTCCCTTTGGCTTAGTGATTTTGGGGTCCCAAGATTTCTTTTCCTTTTACACCCAGCAGCCCTGGAATGGGGTGGGGGCAGCATTTTATACTCTAAAATCAACTTCACTCCTAAAAGCCAGAAATCTATCTCTACCCCCAGGGTTAAGGTGCTGGTGCCCAGTCCACCTAACCCCTGATCCCACTTATTATGCTAACTCTTTAGAAATGGGTGGCTGAACAATGGGGGATGAAAACTTCAGGGTGCTGGAAAATGCTCTTAACAACAACTGCCAGAGAAAAGGTAGCCAGCTTGTGCTGCAGTGGGTGACCTGGAATTCTCAGCACTTTTCTTTTTCCTGTCTTTTCCCCTCTGCCCCCTACCAGTGTGTACACATTCGCTAAAAGGGACTGACATCAAGAAGGTGCCAGCTTGCCTAGTTAGGAGCAGTCATTGCCAATCAAGTCTTCAAATACGGACTTGATAGGAAAAAGGAACACGTTTTCACCCAAGGTTAAACACTAGTGCCATTCAGAACATGGAATACTACTGGAGAGCAGGATTTACAGTGTCTTTGGGGAGACAGTTTCAGATAATAGCCACAGTACTGTGACAGTCCCAGATAAGCCACATCCTCTCACTGTTGGAGGGCATCCCTGCTCTCTCCCATCATGCCTGCCACCTTGGTTTCCAAATCTGACTTCTCCCCTGAGCTAAAGTGCCAGATCTCCAAGCCAATGTCCCTTCAGAGGTCCATTTAGCATTCTGAAATGAATCATCCAATTTCAGTTGCTGGCTCCCCTCCCCATTCCTCTTGTTTCTGATAATGATATTGTAATCACCTGATGGGTTCTTCCTGCCGACGGCACAGACAAAACCAATTCAATGACACCATGGCATTGCAATAAAGAAAGAGTTTAATTGACATGAGGCTGGCCACACCATGTGGGAGATGAAGATATTACTCAAGTCGACCTCCCGGAAAATTCTGAGGCTAGGTTTTTCAAGGGTTACTTGGCTGGCAGGGGGCGAGGGGAACAGATGCGGCTGATTGGTTGGGGATGCAATCATAGGGATGTGGAAAATGGTCCTTGTGCACTAAGTCTGCTTCTGGGTGGGTCCGCAGGACTGGTTGGGCCAAGAGTCAAGGTCCGGTCATCTGGTCATGAGAAATGCAAAATCCTGAAAGGACATCTCCAAAGACCAATTTTAGGTTCTTTAAGAGGGATGTGCCGGGCGCGGTGGCTCACGCCTGTAATCCCAGCACTTTGGGAGGCCGAGGTGGGCGGATCACGAGGTCAGGAGATCGAGACCATCCCGGCTAAAACGGTGAAACCCCGTCTCTACTAAAAATACAAAAAATTAGCCGGGCGTAGTGGCGGGCGCCTGTAGTCCCAGCTACTTGGGAGGCTGAGGCAGGAGAATGGCGTGAACCCGGGAGGCGGAGCTTGCAGTGAGCCGAGATCCCGCCACTGCACTTCAGCCTGGGCGACAGAGCAAGACTCCGTCTCAAAAAAAAAAAAAAAAAAAAAAGAGGGATGTTATCCTCAGGAGTAACTGGGGAAGTTGCAAATCTTGTGACCTACAGAATAATGGCTGGTAATTGTTCACACCTACATCTTAGCAGAATTCAGGCTTCTCTCATCCTCCTAACCGGGTGGTCCTTTATTCATTTTACAAAGGCAGTTCAGTTTTGGGGAAGGACTATTATCATTTAAACTGTAAACTAAAGTTTGTAACTCCCCAAGTTAGCTTGGCCCAAGCCCAGGAATGACCAAGGCAGTTTGGAGGTTAAAGACAAGATGGGGATTGGTTAGATCAGATCTCTTTCACTGTCATAATTTTCTCACTGTTATAATTTTTGCAAAGGTGGTTTTTCAATACTATCATTATCTTGGGCCATTCTTTGTACACTGCTTGAAAATGATGTGATGTGTTGTTTTAAGTGAGGTGCTATGGGTAGTGGTTACTGCCTGGTGGAGCCCCAATATCCATCCATTCCTCCTTTGATAGTGATAGGATTTGCATTTGGGTGGCCTAGGATCAAGACTCTATTTCCTAGATGCCCCTGTCTCTGGGTGTGGTAACACACTCAGTTCTGGCCAAAAGACTGTGAGTGAAATCATTGGATGTAACTTCTAGATCATATCCTTAACAGGAAGGGGTGTGATCTTTTTCTATCCCATCCTCCATCCTGTTGCCTAGAACATTGTGGGGACGGGGAAGCCAGTTTGGAGAATGCCAACAAGGGCAGCACCGTAGAGATGGCAGAGCAACTGGAAAAGAGGAACCAGGGTCTTAGATCCTGTGCAGCTGCCATTCCAGCCTTGACTTACTATTTGCCTGGACGACTGGGAGACAGAGCAATAGACATCTATCTTGTTTAAGCCACGATTCTTGTGAGTCTCTGTTAGAGCACTTGAAACTTATCCTAAAGAAAAAAGCCATCAGAGAGGCCCCATTTTCCCCAAGCTGTCCAGTGGCTTAGTCTAAGAGGCCGGTCTACCTGTGATAGAGGCAGGAGAGAGCCAAATGCCTAGGCAAATAGAGAAGGGTCCCTGGAGAGCCTCCCACCTGCCCAGGTCATTGTGGACAGCGGGCTTCACCTAAACATGCCCATGGTGAAAACTTCCGTGCCTTAACATAGGTACAGTAAGGGAAAGAAATCAATGTGGAGGGGCTCAAGACTAAGAGCCCACGTGTGGACTGGCAGTGGTGCCTTTGCTGCTGGTGTATTTTCCTGACCAAAATCACCACCCACCCCGCCCCACAGAGGGCCAAGCTTGTGCCTCCTCACACAGACCTCTCTCTGCTTTGTCTGAAGTCCCACACTGCCCACAGCTGGTCATTTAATTACTCTTGGTTTGATGAGTCTCTTACTAATTCCAATAGTTCACAGAATCATTAGAATTTTGAAGCTGTCAATGATTTAAATGCATATTTTCCCAAGTAGAAATAGAATTTAAATTCAGATAGTCCTAATCTGATGCCTCCTTTTCAGAATGCTCCCCACCCCAACTACTGCTTTGATCATGTTAGAATAAAACTCAGAATCAAACTCCCCGGGAGGCAATGCCTGCAGCCTGCTTTCCAGGCAGTGTGGCTCCCCGCTGTGCCCTTTGAAATTAGTCACAACCCTTACTTCCCGTCTGGAGTTTTTGAGAGAACAGTGACATGACAGCCCATTGTACATGAAGCAAGTTAGGGCACGTCCTGGCCAAGATCCCAGGGTCCTGAGTATCTTGTTTGATCCCGAGTTGAATTTATGGATCACAGTACATCTCTGGCCCCCTTGTTTCAAAGACAGAATCCCTTACGTCACAAGAAGCAGGACAGGAAAAGCCACATAGCAGACTGGATAATTTAAATGTATAATGGTGGATCTGTTTTTCTAGAAGAGCTTAGGTAAACTCGGAGGTGACCTCTAATTCCAAATACAAGGCCAGGTGTGTACTGGGAGCATAATAGATGCTTACTGGCTGACAATTGCAGGGCTCACCTTAACTTTGGCTGTGGAGCACAGCTCTGATCTCAGAGAAAAATATCTTTCTCAAGTTTCCCTTTTCCTTGTCACATTGCTTTGGAAAGCCTTTCTCCAATTTCTCGCCAGCTTGGTCTTTATTTCCCGCCTAATTTCTGCTTCTACCTGCTCTGTTTTTTGTGCTTTTGACTATAGCTACCACACAGAGAGTGAACTACTGTGGTGTTCCTCAGAAATAATCAGGCTTTTTAGTGTGTGTGGTTTTTATTTTTATTTTTTTGCAAGAGGCAGTATACTTCAAAGGTTTGGTCTCACATTTAAAGGTAGGTTGGAAATAACAGCACTCAAGATGCTTTGGGCGATCAGAAAATTCCTCCAGCCCAGCAAGACAGCAGTGGTGTGGCAGAATTTGTTTAACAAAAGATCTTAGTGATTTAGCATTTATTCAGTTTACAGTAGCAGGTGTTTACTTCGAAGCTTAGCAATAGTAGGAGGTAGGGGTGAGTCATAATGTCAATTATTTTTTTCTAACTTCTGCAATTTTTTCAGTTGAGAGAGCTTCTACATCAGTGAAAGGAAGGTCATTTCTCCGTGGATTATCGGATTGAGCAGAGGGCCCGAGAGCAGCAGGAGTTGGGATGTATTTGGGGCAGGTGGGGGTGTAACCTGCAGTGCGGCTGTGGGGTGCTCTGGCCCGCAGGGCCCTGGAAGCCCTCAACTGATCAGAGCGCCTGGTGGGGCTGTCACCATGATTTAAAGCTCTGAGAATATGAATTAGCAGGAGGTAGGCGGATGGTGTCATTCTGGCCCTGAAAGGCTTCCATAAATCAGTGACACAGTGGAGCCCCAGCAAACTTCCTCCCCGCCGGTTTCTGGAGGCTCTCCTTCCCACTCTGCCCAGACAAGTGGAAAGGAGCGATCCCTTGAGTGGGTGGGTTACGGCCAAATGGCCTGCCCTCCCCACAGCTTGCAGATCTGGGCAGTTGGGTTTTCGCTGGAGCTTTGGGCTTCACCCACTGACTGCAGAGCTGCAGAATCCTTGCAGCACATTGGGGCTTGGGTTCTGGCTTTTGGAGGGATTTGGCTTTGACAGTGGTGGTGAGGAGGGAGTCTTTAATGAAACAAATTCTGTCATGTTGGATCAACACAATGGAGCTCAGTCTGCACAGTGGACAAGAATGGCTTGTTCCTTCCTTCTACCCTTTGTGCTTTGTTAACAGAATGTCCCTGGCACTTCTGTGCTCCTGCCTGCTGCCAAAAGCTTAACTCTGCCCTTGCATAATACTGGAGGACACTGTCAGAGGTCAGCTGGAAGTCCCTCATTCGAAGGCAGATGTGAGGGCTAAAACCCTGCCAAGATCCCCAGGCTGTTTTTCAGTGTTGAGGTTGAAACTTTTTCTCTGCCGCCTCCCCCAGTTTACCAACTCCTCCCTCTAACTGGGGTGGAGACTTGCGTCCAGGGAGTCTTCAGCTCCCCTCTATACAGTAAGAACACCTGCCACTGACACCCAAAGCCACGCAGTGATTTCTCTTCACTCTCTTCAGCCCCATGCTCTAGCAGGCTTTATGTTTTAGGGAGGAGCTGGAGTCACACGGAGGTCCGCTGTAGGAAACGTTGCTGCCTTCACTCACCCACTTCTGTTAGGCAAGGAGTTACAGCGGAATCTTACAGCAGAAAACAAAGCAGGAAATATGACCTCCCAGCGTCTCTCTGGGTCTGAGGAACAGGATTCAGGTGTCTCTGTACCTTGGCCAGTTTGCATTCTTGTCTGCCTAGGAATGCCAGATTCCTTTTAAAAACCACAGGTATAGGAAACAGCCCCAAGCCTAAGGTTCTTTCCCTTCCTTACCCTCTTTGTCTCTGTGGCTACTCAGCTCAGGAGGTGAGATGTTTTCATGGTACAGGGGACAGAAATTCCAGTTCTGGGAGGGGGAGCTGGTTGGGCTTCTTCTTTACTGTGGCCAGACATGAGCAACCTTAGCCTTCGGGCTTACACATGCCTAGCTGGTTTGTTTGTTTGTTTTGGTTACAAGGGGAATGGGAATAAGGAAGGAGCAACAGGCAGCTCAAATACCTCATCACTCCTGGAAAACACTATCACTTCCCACGCGTGGGAAGCCGGCATATTTGTTCCCGCAGTCTAGGCAGGTGGAGTATCCCTAATCCGAAAATCCAAAATCAAAAATGCTTTAAAATCCAAAGCTTTTTGAGCAGCAATATGATGCCACAAGTAGAAAATTCCACACTTAACTTCACGTGACAGATCACAGTCAAAACACATTCAAGACTTTGTCATGCACAACATTATTAAAAATATTGCATAAAATTACTTGGAAGCTGTGTTTATAAGGGTTTATATATAAAACATAAATGAATTTTGTCTTAAGATTTGGGGTTCATCTTCAAGATACCTCATTATATATCTTTTTAAAAATGTTGACTTTGGAATATATCTTATATATTCCAAAAAATTCCCGAATTGGAAACATTTCTGGTCTCAAGCATTTTTATTTATTTATTTATTTATTTATTTATTTATTTATTTTTGAGACAGGGTCTCACTCTGTCACCAAGGCTGAATGCAGTGGCGTGATCACTGCAGCCTCAACCTCCTGGTCTCAAGTGATTCTCCCCCCTCAGTCTCCTGAAGCTGGGGCTACAGGAGCACCACCATGCCTGGCTAATTTTTAAAAATTTTTTTGTACATATAGGGGTGGGGAGAGGTCTTGCTATGTTGCCCAGGCTGGTCTTGAATTCTTGGGCTCAAGTAATTCTCCAGTCTCGGCCTTCCAAAGTGTAGGGATTACAGGTGTGAGCCACCACGCCTGACATTTTTTATTTTTTAGATATGGCGGCGGCGGGGGGGTGGGAAGGGGGAGGGCGTCTAGCTATATTGCCCAGGCTGGATTCAAACTCCTGAGCTCAAAAGGTCCTCCTGTCTCAGCCTCTCAAGTAGCTGGGGTTACAGGCACATGCTACTGCACCTGGCTGCAACCACTCTGGATAAGAGCAACCTGTAATCCCTCTTCCACCTGCCTTTTGTTTACTGTATCTATCCCTGTAAAGTACTGCTACTTTCTAGCTGTTTGGCCTTATACAAGTTGCTTTACATCTGTATGCCCTATTTTCCACATCTGATAAATCAGTATTATTTCATAGAATTGCTATGAAGCTTAGATGAGATAATAAAGGCAAAGCTCTTAGAATGGTACTTGGCTCATAGTAAGCACTCAAATATTGTTTTTGTCAACATTTTCTATATATCTATGTATGGCTTTTGTGATTGTTTTTATTTTTAGTCAAGGATTACATCTCATTTCTTGCCTTTTCTTTGTATTCTGAATTCAGGTTGTGTGAATCTACCTGCCACTGCAAATTTTCAAGCTGAAAGGCCATTTGCATTTTACAACCACTCTCTCAAACATTCCTCTAGGGAACTAGCCGTTTTGAATTACTCCTCTCTTTTCTCTCTTGTCTCCAGAATTGCATATTCCAAATCCAGAACAGTCTCAGCATGGCTGCCGTTTTCTCGTTTCTTTGTGAAGCATCCCGGTCCAGGCTGCCAGCCTCACGTTATTTGATTGTTTTCGGAACAGCCGGCAGGGGGCGCGCATCAGCCGTTCCCAGCACTCAGGCGAGGGGTTCTGACTCCCCAGGTACTTCTGTTAATGAGTTCGGTGCCTGTAGGTCTTTCAGTTAGGATGATAGAAAGCTTCCTTGGCATGGAGATTCACCGTGTACTTCTACAAATAGAAGTTTAAAAGACAGAAAGCTGTATATTATCGCTGCTGAGAGCTTTGCAGTCACGCCTCCCTGTGATGAGACTGACTGCTGTGTTACTGTGGGTAAATTGCTCAGCTTCTCTGAGGCAGTTTCTTTTTATGTAAAAATGGGACAGAAGCCAGCCTGGCTTCTAGAGTTGTTGGAGGAGTCAGCATGTGGCTGATAGATGTAGAGCTCTTAGCCACTGCGGTATTTAGGAATTGGTAAGCATCTTTACTCAGGGCACTGAGGCAAGTTTGGGGCCCTGTCTTTTCTCTCCTTACCCATCCACCTCCTTTTCTTCTCCCTTCCTGCTCACTTTTTCTCCATGCTCTTCATTTCCCTGTATCCAGGCCTGAGACCAACGCCTGTGGGTACAAGGGAGCCTCTGTAGGCATAGGGCTGGGATATACAGAGGGGAGGCTGAGCCACCCACAGGGTGAAAAGAAGGCCAGTGGAAACCCCATTCCACTTCCCTCAGCTTTTTACGTGCATTCTATAAACCTCATCTAGTCTCTTGGTCAGCAGAAGCAAAATTAGCCACAATTTGCTCACACTGCACCCATCCCCAACCCCACTCCACCCTACCAGGGCTAAGAGATGTCAGCAAAAATAAACCCCACGAGAGTGTTCTTCATAGCCCGATGCACAGAACTGGCAGTGCCATGTGGGCATCACCCTGGATGGTGTGCATCCTCACCATACCCAGGCACCTACCTGGTCAGATGTGACAAGAGTTGCTCTAGGGACCTGGGATCCCAGAGAGGGTGGGTGGGTGGGATGGGGACACAACCTCAGCTGGCTCAGAGGAGGGTACAGCTCAGTGCCCAGGCTCGGCTCAGCCTGGCTTAGGGGACCATTCAGGCCTGGATTGGCACCAGTGGTTTGGTTGGGGACTAGTCTGGAAGGTTCCACACCTCTAATCTTCAAATGATGCTGGGTCTGTCTTCCAACTGGGGGGCTGGTCTAGGTGCCTTCTGTCCACAGGGGTAGCTTAGTTTGTTTCCTTTGAAGGCCTGGGTCTCTTTCTGGAGGGATAAGGGTCATGTGGGTAGGGGACCAGTTTGTTCTGGCTTTAGCCCTGAAAGTCCTGCATCCCAGGAAGCCACTCAATCCTGGGCACACTGGAAGGGGTGTCCACCTTGTGGGATGCAGCACGTCATGTGTTAATCTTGGTCTAGATCCCCGCAGGAGAGCTGTGTGGCTCTAGGATGTGATAGGGCACTTTGGGACGCAGAATTGCTGGGGAAAAAAAGAACTAACTATCTCCCACCACCAGATTAGATATGGGCTACTTAGAAGTTTCTTTCTTTTCTTTTCTTTTTCTTTTCTTTTTTCTTTTTTTTTTTTTGGTGCAGAGTTTTGCTCTGGTTGCCCAGACTGGAGTGCAATGGCGTCATCTCAGCTCACCGCAACCTCTGCCTCCCGGGTTCAAGCAATTCTCCTGCCTCAGCCTCCCGAGTAGCTGGGATTACAGGCATGTGCCACCATGCCTGGCTAATTTTTTGTATTTTTAGTAGAGTTGGGGTTTCTCCATGTTGGTCAGGCTGGTCTCGAACTCCTGACCTCAGGTGATCTGCCCACCTTGACCTCCCAAAGTGCTGGGATTATAGGCGTCAGCCACCGTGCCTGGCCTGCTTAGACATTCCTAACAACACTGGATGAATGGGGAGCTGGACCAAGCCACTGTCTTCCAGAGTACTGTGGCAAGTGGGGTCAAAGTGGATTCATCCCAAATGGGGATACCTTGAAGTGGCTTCCTGCCTTTGTCCAGGAGCTCCTCCCCGCACCCAGATCCCACAGCAGGAGGGCACTAGAGCCTTGGCCCACACCCCATCCATCCCCGACAGGCTGCAGCATGCCCTGCCTGGTGAGCAGTTTGCCGACCTTTGCCTCTAATTGCTCTCCTCTGCACACAGCCACTTCCTCTGCCTGCAGCAGAACTCATAAAAAGGGAGGCTTTCCTTCATACCTCTGAAAAGTTCAAAAGAACCCATTTCCTAGGGGAGACCTGGTCACGCCATCACTGGGATCAGAGGCTGCTGAGGACGCCAGCCATGAGCTGCTGCTGGCCGGGCCCAGCTGCCCTGAACTGCACCCCAGCCCTGTCACTGCTTTTCAGTGCCAGCATCCTGTGCTCTAAGGCGGTCCAACCTCTATCAAGACCAGCTCTGTTCTCTTTTGGGATCAATCCGCACCCCTTAACCCTGCACTGCATCTTACAGAGCGAGCCCCCATTGCTGTGAATTGTCCATGAAACGTCAAGCCTAACCTAGAATGGTGGGTGACAAAGCCACACCCAGCTTTGGCGAGGTGCGCACCCTGCCCCATCAGATGCTCGCTCCACTGCTCTGCACCCACCGCCCCTGCTATTCCATGGGGCCCCAACCCTGGCTTTGATTGGGAGTTAGAGCGATGTCAGTTTATCTGAGCCCAAAGCACAGGCGTGTTCAGATTGGGAGTAGGGCTTCTGGTTCTTTGGCATGGCTCTTGGGCATGGACCAAACTCCGTTCTTCCCCAGCATCCAAGTTGGTAATGTATGTTCATGAACATCTCAGACAGGATCCTAGACGCCAACCAATAGGGAGTTTCTGGGAGAAAATGAAACAGTTTTGTGCTGTCTGTCCCAGCTGAAGGTGCTCAGGCAATGCTTGTTGAACAAATACATAAATTCTACTTATAGAATAGGAAACAGATCTCTAAAGGGAACCTGCTTTAATAACTTAGAGGTATCTAGAAACAGGATAGGGCTAGATTGGAAAGGAAAACACTCATTTCTAATATACTTTCCTCTCCTAATGACCTCCACTCTCCTCTACCACCCAACAAGCCAAGTGGTGGATGAGTCAGATATGCTTATTAAATAGCATGTGCAGTGGAAGGCTGGCCAGCACCTTCACCATTCCATGCATCCTAACCCTTTCCCCGGCTGCTGTTGCAGCACACACACACACACACACAGAATCTCACACACACTCAAACACACATATAAACATAAACACACTCATATACTCAAACACACACAAACACATACTACACAGACAAACATACACAAACACAATACAAGCATGCACACAAATATACACAAACACGCATATGCACAAAGACACATACAACATATACACAAAACATACAAATACATACATACAAATATATGCATATACATACTTATACCTACAAACCAAACACATATACATAAACACACACTACACACACTCACACACAAACATGCCCATATATACATAAACATACATATATGCAAACACACTACACACAAACACACACAGACATGCGCGCGCACACACACACACCCCTTTCCACCCGTTGAGGGGTTGGGATATGAGAGAAAACATGAACTTTTCATCTGCACTTCATTATAACATGCTGTACAATTAATTGTTCTGTAGGATTTTTTGATGCATGTCACTGAAATTGCTCTAATTTTCACTTGACAACAATAGTTTAATGCTATAAAAATATCCATATATGCATGTGATGGTTTGCAGCTTCTGAAATATGGTCATCTGTTCCAGGTTAAAAGAATTCGAGGCAGCATTCTTCCTGAAGGCCTTTTGTTATTAGTTTGCTTCTCAAAGTCATCTTCCGAATCCTGCTGTGCTAAGCATCACCCCAGCTCAGCCCAGTTATGAATTTCATTGCTGAGCTCTGAGCCCAGGTTGTCTGGCAGCATTTCTGATTGTAATCAGTTTTGTGCAGTGAGATCACCTTGCTGACCACGAGCGGTGGCTCCCAGCACTGCAAAGATATGTGTGGGGCCGGCCTGCTTTTGTGACTGCAGCATTCACCCTTCAGGGGACAGACAGCGGCTCTTGCTGTCTCAATGCCACTGGAAGAACTCCAAAGGGTGCCTGGAGGACCAGCTTGGACTTTCAGTTCTGTTGCTTACGAGTGTGTGACCTTGGACATGTTGTGCGTCTCTCTGCCTCTCGGTTCTGTGACCTGGGCATAGTTAACACCTGCTTTTGAGGTCTTGTGAGGAATAAATGAGACATTTTATTGAAACAGCTACATTGATTTTACAATTCTCAATTCTGACCCATGAATGAAATAGATTTCATTTCATTATGACTGACATTAAAAAAATTAGAATAGATATTGGGTATAAAGTTTCTTTATGGGGTGAGGTAAATGTTCTAAATTAGATTGTGATAATAATTGTACAACTCTGGAAACGTACGAAAATCTACTGAGCTGTGTACACTTTAAGTGGGTGAATTTTGTGGTATATAAATCACATATACATATTTTTGAGACAGAGTCTCGCTCTGTCACCACTCTGTAGTGCAGTGGCACAATCTCTGCGTACTGCAACCTCTGCCTCCTGGGTTCAAGCAATTCTGCCTCAGCCTCCCAAGTAGCTGGGATTACAGGCATGTGCCACCATGCCTGGCTAATTTTTTGTATTTTTAGTAGAGACGGGGTTTCACCATGTAGGCCAGGATGATCTCGATCTCTTGACCTTGTGATCCGCCCACCTTGGCCTCCCAAAGTGCTAGGATTACAGGCATGAGCCACTGCGCCTGGCCTATAAATCATATCTTAATAAAGTTGGTTATACAATAAAATGCCCTTAAAAATCCATCAACCTCTACACTTGGGATTCATGAACTTTAGTATATATGTTAGACTTCAATTAAAAAATTTGGCTGGGCGTGGTGGCTCACACCTGTAATCCCAGCACTTTGGGAAGCCGAGGGGGCAGATCCCTTGAGGTCAGGAGTTGGGAGAGTAGCCTGGCCAACATGGTGAAACCCTGTCTCTGCTAAAAACACAAAAAATTAGCCAGGCGTGGTGGTACGTGCCTGTAATCCCAGCTACTTGAGAGGCTGACTGGGAGAATTGCTTGAACCCAGGAGGCAGAGATTGCAGTGAGCTGAGATTGTGCCACTGTACTCCAGTCTATGTGACAGAGTGAGACTTCATCTCAATTAAAAAAAATAGATATAGGCTGGATGTAGTGGTGCACACCTGCAACACCAGCACTTTGGGAGGCTGAGGTGGGAAGATCTCTTGAGGCCAGGAGTTTGAGACCAGCCTGGATAACATAGCGAGACTCTGTAGCTACAAAAAAAAAAAAAGATAAAAAATAAAAAAATTAATTGAGTGTAGTGGTGCATAGTGCACACATGTAGTCCTACCTATTTGGGAGGCTGAGACAGGAGGATCGCTTGAGCCCGGGAGTTTGAGTTTGCAGTGAGCTATGATCACACCATTGCACACTAGTCTGGGAGATGGAGCAAAAACCTGTCTCTAAAAAATGAAAAAAAAAAAAAAAAGACATAAGAAATAGAATAGAAAATAGCAGAGTGCCTCACATGTAGTAATAGTTAATATCATTTTCATGAACTATATGTGTAAATGTGTGTGTATGCATGTGTGTGTGTGTATGTGTGTACGGGGCTGCAATAGAAATGTGTTTCTAACAGAGGGCTGTTGCTGTAAACATCCACTGGCCTAGCGTCTATCCAGTCAGAGCAGACATTTAACAATGATTACTTATACCCCTTCTCCCCTTCCTTTCCAGAAATGCAAATAAAGAGGAAGAGCACACCCATGTTCAGTAATTGACTTTGACTTCAGAGTGTTGGCCTGTTTTCTGACATAAGAGAGCAGAAACTCTGACTAGCTGGAGGAGCCCCGTTACCACCCCCCTTCCGTGTGTGTATGTACACACACATGCATGCACACAATTAAATCAGGCTCTCTTTTTCTAGTTAAATAAACCCCACACTTGCCAAAGGAACAAATAGTTGGCCTATTGCCAAAGAAAATGTGCCTCTGGGCTTCTGGTTTTGGAGGTTTTGCAGTGTTTACTTTCCAGTGATCTCCACTTGACTCCTTACCTCTTTCATTTGGTTGTAAATACCACAATTTAAACTAGCTACCTGCTGCTGTGACCCTGCATGGGAGGTTGTCTTGACAGATGTGGCAGGCTTCCCTGGCCCCTTCCTCCTCTAGGTGAGTGTGGGGTGGAGGAGGGTGGGCATGAGCAGGAACATGGCTGTCGTGGGGGTGAGTGTGGGGCAGGGACGGCAGCCACTGCCACAAGCAGGACATGGACTTTGTGCTCAATCAAGGTAAATAGATGAAGTCATCCAGTGCCTGGTGACCTTTTGAAGATGACGCAGTATAAATAGCCTTGGGAAGACTATTTCATCAGGGTTGAAACACTTGTGTTTCTGTTGCTTTCTGATGATTATTTTCCTTTGGTTGTTTGCCCCTGTGACACATTTCAGTAACTACCAGATGGGCCTTGGGTGGATGTATCCAATGGGAAAACCAATTTGGAAATGACAGGGCTGGCAGCTGCCTCCTCACTGAAATCTGGGAAATCAGAGAATCGAATCAATTGAAGAACTCTTAGACTTTACTTTGGTTTTGTAAGTTCTGGGTTCAAATTCCCTTTCATATTGTAGATAGAGTTAGACAACTACTAATTTGTGGCCATATTACAACTGATTAGGGTAGAGGGTTAGTCTCTGATTGTAACCAGCTACCTTGGAAAGGCCACGCCAACTCTTTTAGGTCACTTAGCTTTCATCAGTGCCCGAAGGGGAAGTTTCTACCAAGCAGATGGCATATGGTATGTAGCAGATGGTAGATGGTATATGGTAGATAGTGGATGGTAGATATTAGATGGTTGATAGTATATGGTAGATGGTGGATGACAGAGAGTAGATGGTATATGCTGGATGGTACATGGTATATGGTAGATGGTGGATGGTGAATGGCATATGACAGATGGTAGATGAAGAATGGTGGATAGTACATGATAGATGGTTGATGATAGACAATTGATGGTAGATGGTAGATGGTGGGTGGTATGTGATGGATGGTGGATGGCAGATGGCAGTGGTATGTGGTAGATGGCAGATGGTGCATCGTAAATGGTGCATGATGGTGGATGGTGGATGGTAGATGGTAGATGGTAGATGATGGATGATACATGGTATGTGGTAAATGGTATATGGAATATGGTAGATGGTGCATGGTAAATGGTGGAGGATGGTGGATGGTAGATGGCAGATGGTAGATGGTGGATGATAGGTGGTATATGATGAATGGCATATGGAATATGGTAGATGGTGGATGGTAGATAGTACATGGTGAATGGTAGATGGTGGATGGTGGATGGTAGATGGTAGATGATATATGATGAATGGTATATGGAATATGGTGGATAATAGTGGATGGTAGATGACAGATGGCATATGGTGGGTGGTGTATGATGGATGGTGGATGGTAGATGGGAGATGATATATGGTATATGATGAATGGTAGATAATGGATGGCAGATGGTATATGGCATATGGCAGGTGGTATATGTGGTATATGATGAATGGCATATGGAATACAGTGAATGGTAGATGGTGGATGGTAGACGGCTGATGATTGATAGCATAAGGTATATGATAATAGATAGGGCCCAGATTTTAAAGTCCAGCTGCCCAGTGAGAATGCTTTTTCTGCTTCTCACTTGCACCACAATCTTTGTGCCTTGGTTGCTACAGCTGCAAAATAATAGCACCTCACTTGTGGGATTTGTTTTGTTAAGGCAAAATTTTTATAACACAAAATTTTCTATTTTCACACTAAGTGCACCGTTCGGTAGGATTAAGTACATTCACATTATTGTAAACCATCATCATCATCCATCCACAGAACTCTTCGTCTTCCAAAACTGAAACTCTGTACCCATTAAATGGTAACACCTCATTTCCCACTCTCCCCAGTCCCTGACAACCACCATTCTACTTTGAATCTCTATGAATTTGACTACTCTAGGTACCTCATGTAAGTGGAATCTTACAGTATTTATTATTTTGTGACTAGCTTATTTCACTTAACATAACGTTTTTAACACTCACCCAGGTTGTAGCATGTATCAGAATGTCCTTTTTAAAGGCTGAATAATATTCCATTGTATGGACATAACAATTTTATTTATCCATTTATCTGCTGATGGACATGTGGTTGTTTCCCCTTTTGGTTGTTGTGAATAATGCTGCTATAAACATGAGTGTACAAATACGTGTTCAAGTCCCTGTTTTCAATTCCTTTGGATGTCTACTCAGGATATCCAAACTTGATGGAGTAATTCTATGTTTAATTTTTTAAAGAACTAACATACTGTTTTCTACAGTGACTGCACTATTTTATATTTTCACTAACAACACACAAGGTTTCCAGTTTTCTCCACACCTTTGTCGACACTTGTTATTGTCTGGGGCTTTAAAAAATTTATTTATAATAGCCTCTGTGATTTTGGTTTTGAAGGCTAGATGACAGAATGTACAGAAAACACTTAGCCTGTAGTCCCAGCTACTCGTGAGGCTGAGGTGGGAGGATCGCTTGAGCCTGGGAGGCAGAGGTTGCAATGAGCTCAGATGGAGCCACTGCACTCCAGCCTGCATAACAGAGTAAGACCCTGTCTCAAAAAAGTTAAAAAAAAGAAAGAAAGTAGAAAAAAAAAAGTAGAAAGAAAGAGAGAGAGAGAAGGAAGGAAGAAAGGATGAAGGAAGGAACTAATGAAGGAAGGAGAAAGAAAGAAAACACTTAACAAACTTAGTGCCTGGCTCAGTAAATGATAGTTGACCTTGCTGTTTCGGGTGCTGCTTCTCTTTCTGTAGAAGTAACTTAACTGTTAATCTTCATTATAGATTAACTTCTCCCTCTCCTCTCTCATACAAAGACTGTATGCTGTTACATTGTCAAAGACAGGATGCTATATGCTCTTTTAAATTGGAAAGGAAAACAAGCTATACAGAAAAGAAAACAAACTGTAACTAATTAAATTGTTGTAACTCATAAATCCAGCCTTGTATGGAAAATGTCATAGTCCTACTAAACTTTGTTTTGCCTATATAAGCAAGACAGCTTTTAACTTCAGAGAGCTCACCCCGTTTCTGTGGGGTCTATTTCTGTTTTGTTCAGTTACCTGAATGGCCATTCTCAGCTTTGCGCTTGAATAAACTCTTTAAAACTGGATTCTGATCCCTTTGATTATTTCATGTTGACTATATATATATAATATATATATATAAGACTATATATATATAATAATATGTATATGTATTTGGAGAGAGAGGAAGCAAATTCGGCAAAATGTCAATAATTGGTGAGTGAAGGGGATACGGGAGTCCTTTGTACTATTCCTGAATCTCTTCTCTAAAGTTTAAAATTATCTCAAAATAAAAAATGACAAAAGATATGGACTTCTTAGGGACATGTTTCTTGGGGTGTATTTCCCAGCTGTCTGTGTTAGAATTTCCCGGGAGTTTAAAACACAGACACAGGGGTTCCACTGTGGCAGTCCGCTCCAGGAGGTATGGGGTGAAGCCTGAGGATCTGCATTTTCCACAAGCGCCTCAGGGAATTCTGAGTCAGATGGTCGGTAGATGTGACTTCAGGAAGTAGCATCTCCACTGCCTCCTCCAGGCAGTGGACTGTTTGTACACAGTCTCGGCGAGTGGTAGGATGACAGTTGTTCCTGGCTGGTCTTGGTCATGCTTGTCCCGTGCAGACTCGATGCTGAGTCAACCCTGCTGAGGCAGGAACTGAGTCCGGTTTAGGATTAAGTCACCTACTTAGACCCAGTGACAGTCCCATGTTTGCTAAAGTCCCCTGCTCTTCCCTGGGTCTCTTCACTGACACAGCAGGCATGGTGTCCTCAGAGATGGTCTGGTAGTCATTCGATCTTCCCAGGAATCCAAAGTAATGTTACTGACAACAAGGGAGTGATCCAGAGGTGGTGGAGGTGACGATGGTGATGCCGCTGCTGCTGCCGACCTGGTATAACCATCCCTAAATGATGTGTTTGGCAAGGAAAGACCCAGGAATCAGGGCATTCACATAAAGAGTACGAAGTAAAGGGAAAGATGGGAATGAGGTGGGAGAGAGGAGCACGCAAGGTATTTGAAGTTATTCTTCTGTTTGTTCAACCAGCATTTTATGAATGCCATGTGTGTACCAGGCACTTTGCAGGGCATGGAGAATAAGATTAAGTACAAGAACAGATAGAGCCCCCCTTGTTTTATGGAGCTCAGCCCAGGTCTGGATCTCACAGTTGACTAGGAGAATGGGAAACAGAGCCTTGACTTGTCATAAAGCCTTCTTGAAGGGAAGAAGTGAATGGGAAATAGCGTTTAGAAAGTTTGGCTCCAGATGGCGAGGTTGGGGAGGGAATTCCTGACTATCAGAGAATGTATTTTTCTGCAGATAAAAATCAAACTGTGGGTCCCAATAATAATAGTAATAATAGTACTACTAATAAAATAACTCAAAGCTTTTATCTCAAGGCCTCACGAGAGAAATAGTTGGAAATCCACTCTCAGGTCCCTCCCATCTCACCTTTGGAATCATCAGGTTTCCAGAACAGCTACAGCCTTCCTCTTTTTGTTCCCTGGTGGTCACTGTCTGTGGCTGGGTGGGGGACGCCTCTTCACTGTCACCTCCAGGCTTCCTCTTCTGGCTCCATGCAAAGTCTCAATTCTTCCTCCTCTCTTCTCCAGAAGGGACTGCATTTACTTCTTTCTTATTTGTTTATTTTTCTCTAACACTTACTTGTTGGGTAGATAATGCACTTGTATAGTTGAAAAATCAGGCTGGGGTCGGTGGCTCATACCTGTAATCCCAGCACGTTGGGAGGCCGAGGCGGGCGGCTCACCTGAGGTCAGGAGTTCGAGACCAGCCTGGCCAATATGGTGAAACCCCATCTCTTCTAAAAGTACAAAAATTAGCCAGGCATGGTGGCACATGCCTGTAGTCCCACCTACTCGGGAGGCTGAGGCAGAAGAATCACTTGAACCTGGGAGGCGGAGGCTGCAGTGAGCCAAGATCGTGCCGCTGCACTCCCGCCTGGGCGACAGAGTGATACTCCATCTCAAAAAAAAAAAAAAAAAAAGAAAAATCAATGTTATCCAAGAGGACCCAAGGAATAGTGCGCCTGCCATTCCTGCCTCCCAGTCATGACTTCTCCCAGAGGCAACCAATGCTTCTCATTTCTTCTGTGTCTTTCCAGAGATAGTCTCTATTAAGGCATATATTTTTCTTCATTTTTTTAAAAAAGATTCTAGTGTATTTTAGATACCGTTTAGTACTTTGCTTCTTTCATCAATTTAAAAATATCTCTTGGAGATCATTCCCTATCATGAGGGATCTTGTTCTTCTGTGACTGCATGGTATCCATGGTGTATATACAGCTATAATTTAGTTAATTGATTAATGGTCATTTAGGTCATTTCCAAACTTTTCCCTTTGTAACGTACATACGAGTATAACTGCAGGTTACATTCCTAGAAGTAGAACTATTGGGTGCAGGAGGATATGAGCTTTGGTCTTTTTTTTTTTGAGACACAGTCTCGCTCTGTCACCCAGGCTGGAATGTAGTGGCACCATCTCAGCTCACTGTAACCTCTGCTTCCTGGGTTCAAGTGGTTCTCCTGCCTCAGCCTCCTGAGTAGCTGAGATTACAGGGGCTCACCATCACTCCCAGCTAATTTTTGTAGATTTGGTAGAGACGGGGTTTCACCACGTTGGTCAGGCTGGTCTCGAACTCCTGACCTCAGGTGATCCACCTGTCTCGGCCCCCCAAAGTGCTGAGATTACAGGGGGAGCTTGGTAGTTTTGATGAATATTGCCAGATTGTCCACCATGGAGGTACTAACTGACACGTCCATCAACAATCTATGTGTTCACATTTTACAAACCCTTGCCACCATAATAATCATTTTTTATGTTTGCAATCTTGCAGGTAAAAAAAGAGGAGTCCCATTGAAATTTTAACTTTCATTCCTCTTATTACAAGTGGATTTCAACATTCTTTCTTATGTTTAAAATCTATTTTCATTTTCTTTTGAAGGAACTGTTTTTCCCCCATATCCATTCCTATTTGTTCTATTGGGTTCTAGTTTTTTTTTTTTTTTTTCTTTTTGTTTACTTTACTTTTTATGTATTAGGCCAAATTAGCTCTCTGTTAATGACGTGAATGCAAATGTATTTTCTAGTTTGTCATTTGTCTTTTAGATTTACTTATGTTGGTTTGCCCTACAAACTTAAAAAAAAATGTATATAGTTGATTGGATCAGTCTTTTTTTTGTGGCTTCTGTTGTGTTTTGCACTTAGATTTTTTTTATAGCAAGATTATTTTAAAAATATCCCATCAAGTCTTCTAACACTTCTGATTTAATTTTTTATATTAAAAATTTAAATCCGTATTAAATTTATCCTGGTGTAAGATGTGAGGTGTGAATTCAACTTCATTTTTACCCCTCAATGGTTATCCAATTGTTCTAACACCATCTTTTATGCACTGATTTGAAGTGCTACCCTTTTCATATACTAAATTATCTCTTATGCTTGTGTTTATTTATGGGCTTTTTATTCTGTTCCATTTATCTGCCTGTGTGTTTCTCATGAATACCATTTCAATGATCAGTTGTATAATGTCAATGTTTGTCCGGGATGACCCATTATTACTCTTCTTTTTCAGAAATTTCCTGACTACTTTGCTTGTTTATTTCTACATATGATTTTTAGTATCAGCTTATCTAGTTAAAAAATCTCATTATTTTATAGGGATAGTTTATTTATGGGCTATTAACTTATGGAGTAAGTTAGGGAGAAATGACATTTATGGTGTTTTCCACTCTATGAATATGATATGTCTTATTATTTGCTCAGGATTTTTTTTATGTGTCCAGTAGTAACTTTTTATATTTATTTATTTATTTATTTTGAGACAGAGTCTCCGTCTGTCACCCAGACTGGAGTGCAATGGCACAATCTTGGCTCACTACAACCTCCACCTCCCAGGTTCAAGCGATTCTTCTGCCTCAGCCTCCCAAGTAGCTGGGATTACAGGCACCCACAATCATGCCAGGCTAATTTTTGTATTTTTAGTAGAGACGGGGTTTCACCATGTTGGCCAGGCTGGTCCTGAACTCCTGACCTCAGGTGATCCGCCTGCCTCGGCCTCTCAAAGTGCTGGGATTACAGGCGTGAGCCACTGCACGTGGCCCCAATAGTAACATTTTAAAG